>NC_000005.10:152156515-152456832 GCF_000001405.40 Homo sapiens
ATATTGTTGAAGGCCTTTTCTATATCTATTGAGATAATCTTGTGCTTTTTATCATTGGTTCTGTTTATGTGATGGATTATGTTTATTGATTTGCATATGTTGAACCAGCCTTGCATCCCAGGGATGAAGCTGACTTGATCGTGGTGGATAAGCTTTTTGATGTGCTAATGGATTTGGTTTGCCAGTATTTTATTGAGGATTTTTGCATTGATGTTTATCAGGGATATTTTCCTGAAATTTTCCTTTTTTGTTGTGTCTCTGCCAGGTTTTGGTATCAGAGTGATGCTGGCCTGATAAAATGAGTTAGGGAGGATTCCTTTTTCTACTGTTTGGAATAGTTTCAGAAGAAATGGTACCAGCTCCCCCTTGTACCTCTGGTAGAATTCGGCTATGAATGTCTCTGGTCCTGGGCTTTTTTAGTTGGTAGGCTATTAATTACTGACTGAATTTCAGAACTTGTTAATAGTCTATTCAGAGATTTGACTTCTTCCTGATTTAGCCTTGGGAGGGTGTATGTGTCCAGGAATTTATCCATTTATTCTAGGTTTTCTAGATTATTTGCATAGAGGTGTTTATAGTATTCTCTGATGGTAGTTTGTATTTCTGTGGGATCAGTGGTGATAGCCCCTTTATCATTTTTTATTGCTTCTATTTGATTCTTCTCTCCTTTCTTCTTTGTCTGGCTAGCAGTCTATATTTTGTTGATCCTTTCAAAAAACCAGCTCCTGGATTCATTGCTTTTTTGAAGGGTTTTTCGTGTCTCTATCTCCTTCAGTTCTGCTCTGATCTTAGTTATTTCTTGTCTTCTGCTAGCTTTTGATTTGTTTTCTCTTGCTTCTCTAGTTCTTTTAATTGTAATGTTAGGGTGTCGATTTTAGATCTTTCCTGCTTTCTCTTGTGGGCATTTAGTGCTATAAATTTCCCTCTAAACACTGCTTTAGTTGTGTCCCAGAGATTCTGGTACATTGTGCCTTTGTTCCCATCAGTTTCAAAGAACTTATTTATTTCTGCCTTCATTTTGTTATTTTCCCAGTAGTCGTTCAGGAGCAGGTTGTTCAGTTTCCATGTAGTTGTGCGGTTTTGAAAGAGTTTCTTAATCTTGAGTTCTAATTTGATTGCACTGTGGTCTGAGAGACTGTTTGTTATTATTTCTGTTCTTTTGCACTTGCTAAGGAGTGTTTTGCTTCCAATTATATGGTCGATTTTAAAATAAGTGCAATGCAGTGCTGAGAAGAATGTATATTCTTTTGATTTGGGGTGGGGAGTTCTGTAGATGTCTATTAGGTCCACTTGGTCCAGAGCTGAGTTCAAGTCCTGAATATCTTTGTTAATTTTCTGTCTCGTTGGTCTGTCTAATATTGACAGTGGGTTGTTTAAGTCTCCCACTATTATTGTGTGGGAGTCTAAGTCTCTTTGTAGGTCTTTAAGAACTTGCTTTATGAATCTGGGTGCTCCCGTATTGGATGCATATATATTTAGGATAGTTAGCTCTTCTTGTTGCATTGATCCCTTAACCATTATGTAATGCCCTTCTTTGTCTTTTTTGATCTTTGTTGGTTTAAAGTCTGTTTTACCACAGACTAGGATTGCAACCCCTGCTTTTCTTTGCCTTTCCATTTGTTTAGTAAATATTCCTCCATCCCTTTATTTTCAGCCTCTGTGTGTCTTTGCATGTGAGGTGGGTCTCCTGAATATAGCACACTAGTGGGTCTTGACCCTTTATCCGGTTTGCCAGTCTGTGTCTTTTAATTGGGGCATTTAGCCCATTTACATTTAAGGTTGATATTGTCATGTGTGAATTTGATCCTGTCATCATGATGCTAGCTGGTTATTTTGAACATTAGTTGATGCAGTTTCTTCATAGTGTCGTTGGTCTTTATATTTTGGTATGTTTTTGCAGTGGCTGGTACCAGTTTTTCCTTTCCATATTTAGTGTCTTCTTTAGGAGCTCCAGAGGCCTGGTGGTGACAAAATCCCTCAGCATTTGCTTGTCTGGAAAGGAATTTATTTCTCCTTCGCTTATGAAGCTTAGTTTGGATGGATATGAAATTCTGGGTTGAAAATTATTTTCTTTAAGAATGTTGAATACTGGCCTCCCACTCTCTTCTGGCTTGTAGGGTTAATCCAGAGAGATCTGCTGTTAGTCTGATGGGCTTCCCTTTGTAGGTAATCTGACCTTTCTCTCTAGCTGCCCTTAAGATTTTTTTCTTCATTTCAACCTTGGTGAATCTGACAATTATGTGTCTTGGGGTTGCTCTTCTTGAGAAGTATCTTAGTGCTGCTCTCTTTATTTCCTGAATTTGAATGTTGGCCTGTCTTGCTAGGTTGGAGAAGTTCTCCAGGATAATATCTTGAAGTGTGTTTTCCAACTTGGTTCCATTCTCCCCATCACTTTCAGGTACACCAACCAATCGTAGGTTTGCTCTTTTCACATAGTCCCATATTTCTAGGAGGCTTTGTTCCTTCCTTTTCATTCTTTTTTCCCTAATCTTGTCTTCACGCTTTATTTCATTAAGTTGATCTCAATCTCTGATATCCTTACTTCTGCTTGATCGATTCGGCTATTGATACTTGTATATGCTTCACGAAGTTCTCGTGCTGTGTTTTTCAGTTCCATCAGGTCACTATGTTTTTCTCGATACTGGTTATTTTAGTTAGCAGTTCCTGCAACCTTTTATCAAATTTCTTAGCTTCCTTGCATTGGGTTAGAACATACTTCTTTAGCTCAGAGGAGTTTGTTATTACCTACCTTCTGAAGCCTACTTCTGTCAATTCGTCAAACTCACTTTCCATCTAGTTTTGTTCCCTTGCTGCAGAGGAGTTGTGATCCATTGGAGGAGGAGAGGCATTCTGTTTTTTTGGAATTTTCAGCCTTTTTGTGCTGGCTTTTGCTCATCTTTGTTGATTTATCTACCTTTGGTCTTTGATGTTGGTGACCTTTGGGTGCGGTTTCTGTGTGGACATCGTTTTTGTTGATGTTGATGCTATTCCTTTCTGTTTGTTAAGTTTTCCTTCTAATAGACACCTCTGCTGCAGGTCTGCTGGAGTTTGCTGGAGGTCAACTCCAGACCCTGTTGGCCGGAGGTCCACTCCAGACCCAATTTGCCTGGGTATCACTAGCGGAGGCTGCAGAACAGCAAAGATTGCTGCCTGTTCCTTCCTCTGGAAGCCTTGTCCCAGAGGGGCACCTGCCAGATGCCAGCTGGAGCTCTCCTGTATGAGGTGTCTGTTGACCCCTGCTGGGAGGTGTCCTCCAGGAGGCCAGGGGTCAGGGACCCACCTGAGGAGGCAGTCTGTCCCTTAGCAGAGCTCAAGCTCTGTGCTGGGTGATCTGCTACTCACTTCAGAGCCAGCAGGCAGTAACATTTAAGTCTGCTGAAGCTGCGCACACAGCCACCCCTTCCCCCAGGTGCTCTGTCCCAGGGAGATGGGAATTTTATCTGTAAGCCCCTGACTGGGGCTGCTGCCTTTCTTTCAGAGATGCGCTGCCCAGAGAGGAGGAATCTAGAGAGGGAATCTGGCTATAGAGGCTCTGTGGAGCTGTGGTGAGCTCCACCCAGTTTGAACTTCCTGGTGGCTTTGTTTACACTGTGAGGGGAAAACCGCCTACTCAAGCCTTAGTAATGGCAGATGCCTCTCCCTGCACCAAGCTGGAGCATCCCAGGTCGACTTCAGGCTGCTGGACTGGCAGTGAGAATTTCAAGCCAGTGGACCTTAGCTTGCTGGGCACCATGGGGGTGGGACCTGCTGAGCAAGACCACTTGGCTCCCTGGTTTCAGCCCCCTTTCCAGGGGAGTGAATGGTTCTGTCTTACTGGGGTTCCAGGTGCCCATGTGGTATGAAAAAAACTTCTGCAGTTAGCTCGGTGTCTGCCCAAACAGCTGCCCAGTTTTGTGCTTGAAACCCAGGTCCCTAGTGGTGTAGGCACCTGAGGGAATCTACTGGTCTGCGGGTTGCAAAAACTGTGGGAAAAGGCTAGTATCTGGGCCGATAGCACAGGTCCTCACAGCACAGTCCCTCATGGCCTCCCCTAGCTATGGGAAGGAGTTCCCTGGCCCCTTGCGCTTCCTGGTTGAGCTGACACCCCACCCGGCTTCTGCCTGCCCTCCATGAGCTGCACCCACTGTCTAACCAGCCCCAGTGGGATGAACCGGGTACCTCAGTTGGAAATGCAGAAATCGCCCACCTTCTGCATTGGTCTTGCTGGGAGCTGCAGGCTGGAGCTGTTCCTATTTGGCCATCTTTGAGATTTTACCTTTGTATCAAAGTATTTCAAATTTGTATAAACTGTGGCTGTCCTATGTGGAACTCACAGGGCTGTGAGAAGTAAATGGATCACACATGTGCACCACACTTTGCATGGTGTCTTCCCCATAATATTAGCAACTATTTATTCACTATTTACGAAGTGCCAGGCACCAAATGCTTCAGGCATATTATCCCCTTTACTTTTCACAATAAACTAATGAGATGGATATGTTAGTTATTTATTGTTGTGTAACAAATTAGCCCAAAACTTAGAGGCCTAAACCAACAAGCTTTTATTATCTCTCACAATTTCTGAGGTTCAGGAAACCAGGAGGGTTTAGCTGGGTGGGTCTGGCTCAGAGTCTCTCACAAGGTTGTGGTCAAGCTGTTGGCCAGGACTGTAGTCATCTCAAGGCTCAAATGGGGCTGGAGAATCTACTTCCAAGCTCACTTGTGGTTTTTGGAAGGCCTGAGTCCTCACTGGCTGTTGATAGGAGCCTTCAGTTTCTCTCCACGTGGGTCCTTCCCTATGACTGCTCACAGCATGGCAGCCAGCTTCTTTCTGAGCAAGAGATCTGATGCAAGTAGGATGGAAGCCATGTATTTTATAACCCAGGCTGCAGTGGCATCCCATCTCTTCTGTTGTATGTTACTGGTCACACAGACCAACTCTAGTACAATGTGAGAGGGGACTAAACATGGGTGTGAATACCAGAAGACAGGTATTAGGGGATACTGCTGTTATCTCCTCCTTCACAATGAGAGGATTGAGACCCAGAGAGCTTATGTAAGTAATCCAAGGTTGCACATTAGTAAGTTAAACAAACAAACAAATAAACTAGGTTTCAAATTTAGGCAGTTCGGTGGCAGCTTCTCCATTCTTAACCACAGCACTATTCTGTGTGCGGAGTAAGTAGCATATCCACATTAGCTATAATTGCTATTATTTCACTCCCAACAACCAGTCTGCAGAGTCATAATTCTAGGGTTGGACCTGCTTAAAGGCAAGAGTCCTACAGTAAACTTCTCTCAGCCTGGCAGTTTGAGTATGTACAAAAAAAATCTGAAAACAGGACTTTTACCTATATGAAGTATCCAGCCTTGTTAGGGCAACAGAACAGCAGAAATTTCTAAACTTTGAACTTCTATAGTAGTTGTTGCCCTTACTAGTTCTTTTTTTGTGTGGTGAGGGGGAACGCTTTATATATATTCCTTTTGTATAGTCATTTCCTTTTCCTACATGTATTGTTGCCTCTAAACTAGATTGTAAACTTCTCTTGGGTGGAGTTCTGTCCTATTCTTTGTTGAGGCCCACCTAGCATCAAGTAGAGTTACTTTTCACATAATGGGAATCCTCAACCAATATGTATTAGTGGGGATTATGTAAAATTGTTAGAGAACCCAAGGCAGTGTAATGAAATGGCAAAGCATAGAGCAGAAACTGATTGCCTTTTGATGTCAAAAGAGAGGGAGGTTAAATTTTCTTCTTGAAATGTGTTCCTTTTTTGGGTGCCCCATCTTTGAGCTGTCTCTGAAGTATGCCCTTCTTTTATCTACAACATAACACACTGTTTTGTAAAAATATCCCAGTCCCTGATCCAGCCATACCTCTCATTCCCACAATAGCCTTGGTGTTCTTGAGTGTCTGTATTATCCACATAATAGCTTTGAAAGGAGTCTCTCCTTATATTTTTGCAGAAGAACCTTCAGGTTTTGAAGTCTGAACTGTCATTGAGGAGGCTTTATCCATTGTCAGCCCTTGAGGTGAATGCGCATTCCTGTCAATGAACGAACGGTGTTGATTCCATTTGCACATTTTACCACAGAGTTAAACACTATGATTTCTTTCTCCCCACCCCCATTTCAAAGTAAAATCACCCTCAACTTCTTTCTTTTCTGGTTTGCCTTTGCTTTAGCATAGTGTTCCAAATTCTAGCCATTGCTTGCAAAATGTTGGAAACCATCACAATTCTTATTTCTTTTCTTTATAGTCATTTCTTTTCCCTTGGCTCAGCCAAATTGAACTATATCAATTGCCACTTTCATTTCTTTCTCCTTTAATGCTTCCAAAGGATCAGCACTCCCTATGAAACCACTCCTCAAAAATGTGTGTGTATTTTATATATTGTCTTCCCTCAGGAGCCAGAGACTCCTGCAAAGGAAAATGAACAAGGACTACAGTGATAGCTCCATGGTATGGCTTTCCTTTTTTCTCATCTGTCATTTTTTTTTTTCAGAGTAGGAGTCACACTCTGTCACCTAGGCTGGAGTGCAATGGTGCAGGGCTCACTGCAACCTCAAACTCCTGGGCTGAAGTGATCCTCCTGCCTTAGCCTCCCAAGTAGCTGGAACTACAGGCATGTACTACTATGTCCAGCTAACTTTCATATTTTATTTGCAGACAAAGGGTCTCACTATGTTGCCTAGGCTGGTCTCAAACTCCTGGCCTCAAGTGATCCTCCCATCTTGGCCTCCAGAAGTAAAATTTTAATTTCCAATATTGACATTCCAAGTGGAGGAATGATTTCCTTGAGTATTTTAGTCCCACTCTTTAAACTCAGAGAATGTGAAACAATAAAGATGGGAGAGAGGCAATTGGATCACCTAGCTTCTTGTTGCTCAGCTTGACAAGGGTGATTATTAGCACAATTCAAGGGACCTAAACTTTAGACTTTCCAAAATGTTCACTTTCAAAAAGCTGGTGTTGCAATGGAATGGCTATACTGGGAATCGGCGTCCTGGGCTCTGTTCCGGCTCTGCTACCTACAAACTGTGACCTTTCCTGGCTTCATTTGTTTCTACCATAAAATGGGCAGATTCATTTGCTACATGAACAAACACTTATTGAGCCATGATCGAATTCAAGGCATGGTACTAGGAGCTGTGATCTGGTCCCTGATATCCGCTCCAACCCTATGTTCTTCAACTTCTCTTCTCACGCTCTCTGTTCCATTCAGAATGTCATTTACCCAAGGTGCCAGTCTCTTGCTTCTTGCCTCCAGGTTTCTGTACTGTTTCTTACTCACCCTTCTGGTCTTCTAAGATTAGATGTCACCTTCTGGAAGGCTTTTCTTACCCCCAAGTATGGATTTGGGGTCCCTTTCCATTGCAGCCTATATGCACTTCTCACTTCACACTACTCCCACTTTTTGGAATCAATTCTTTACTTATCTGTCTCCTATTACACTGAGAAGTTCTTGAGGGTGGAGACCAGGTCTTACTCACTTTTACATTCCCAGCCCCAGCAACAACCAATTATAACTAGTTTTTACTGATCATGTATTCTGTGCTCAGCTTTTTGCTAAGCATCTCATATCTATAACCTCAGTTAGAACTCAAGTAACCCTTTGAAGAAGAAACTTTTTATTCCATTTTACAACTAGAGAATGAGGCTTAGAGAAGTTATATTTTTTGCCCTGGGAAACTCAGCTGGAAAGAGACAGAATGGGGATTCACACACAGTCAGTTTGGCACCAGAATCTCCACAATATGTACTGGGTGCAATATAGCTAGATGTTAAATGAATGAATGTTTCAGTCAGCCTCAGGGATGAAACAGCAACGAATTCTGTGCTTAAGAAATGCATGATCTAAAGCAGGGGCTGCCAACTCCCAGACCACAAACCTGTACCAGGTTGTGGTCTGTTAGGAACCGGGCTGCACAGCAGGAGTTGAGTGGCAGGTGAAGCATCACTGTCTGAGCTTTGCCTCCTGTCAGATCAGCGGTGGCATTAGATTCTCATGGGAGCAAAAACCCTATTGTGAACTGCATGTGCCAGAGATCTTGGCTGTGCATTCTCTATGAGAATCTAACTAATGTCTGATGATCTGAGGTGGAACAGTTTCATCCTGAAACCATATCCCCGCCCTATACCATCATCCATGAAAAAAATGTCTTCCATGAAACTGATCCCTGGTGCCAAAAGTTTGGGACTGCTGATCTAGAAGGAGGAGACTTGGAGGTGATGGATAGATTCATGGTCTTGATTGTGGTAATGGTTTCATGGATGTATACTTACCTCTAAACTCATTGGGTTGTATACATTAATGATGTACAGCTTTTAATATGTCAGTCATCCCACAGCAGAGTGTTTTTTTTTTTAAATAAGAAATGCATGATCTAATTGGTATGTGAGACATGAATGCATATCACTCGGTGTCATGAAAGAGTCTCTTTATCCTAGGAGCTCACAGCCCAGCCTGTCATCTCCTGTTCCAGGGGTTCTTGTCAGGGGTGATACCCTCCTGCCACCACTGGCCTGGCTGTGTTTTCTGTGGCTGTGCTCTGCTCTCCCCTGGTGGCTCAGAAGAGCAGGACTGTCACAATCCAGCCCATCAGGAAACAGGCCTCTTGCGGTAAGGGCAGAGGGGAAACTTTCATGTACTGGGAGAGTCTCCACCTGTGGGCTCCCCTTTACTCCTGCTAAGGTCCTTTGGAGTAGTTGGTATGATAGGTTTCAGAGACAAGGAATTGAAGTTCACAAAAGACAGCTGACATCTCATATCTTACAGGTAATGGAGGGTAAGGTCTGGCTTCAAATCTAAGTTACTTGCAGTGCAAAGTAGATTTCTATTATGGGGGGGATGTGAGAGCAAGTATAAAGATAACTAAGTGCCACCCCTGCCATCTGAATTGCCTGATGTTCTCACCATTAATTACTGGTTTAAATTTTGGAAGGTTTTTTGTTTTTTTTTTTTGAGTTACTGTTTCTTGAGTATAAAACCAAGAACTCAGCAATTTGTTAGGAGAATAGGATTCTAATGGGAAGTGACTTAAAGTGGATGTGTAGATGTGAGAAGGACCTGATTGGGCCTTTAGGGAAACCCCTGCAAAAATGAGAACAGACATTCTATCCAACTCTCTTCCAAACCTGTTTCGCTGGTTTGGCTAATTCCCAGAACTAAGAAATCATCCACACTATTCTCTCCCCTCTCCCATCTCTGATTTATAACTCTCCTTCTCCACCTCCACCAAAGGGAGATATCTAGCAGTAGCCTGACTTTGACAAGGAAAGCCTAATGATACAGAGTTAGATATTGCTTAGAGTTCAGCAATATCTAATTGTTTTTTAACAAAATGCAGCTCCCAAACAATTACGTATATACACACACATCTGTACGCAAGAAAAGGCCTGATTCCTAAGTATCTAGGCCTGTCTCCCAGCCATATCACAGGAAAGGGAAAGTGAAGAGAAAAAAGACTGTTTCATCCCTGCCCTTTATATGTTTTAATTATTACTAAAAAGTTATGATTGAAAGAAATGATTTCTAGCTAGCCAGCAATTAATTGATTTTCTGCCTCCCCAGCAAATACATATCTCCTAAGATTTGGATGAGTCTCATGGGCAGGGTGAATGCTGGGCTGGGACCAGCTGTGTGTGTCCATCATAATCCCCTTTGGTCCCCAACCTAATCTGGAAGTGGCAGATCAGAATTAGTGGTCTTGGCAGCTAAGGAGGTTGAAAATGGGGTGGGAACAAAGGAAAGAAAGAGTATTAGCAGTAGCAGTAGCAGCACTAAACAAAGAAATGTAGAAAAAGCATCCTTGGAATGAATCTTAAAAATCGCACAATCGATGGACTCCTAATATGCATCCCATGGATAGTCTTCAAGCCCCTTGAAATACAATACAAAACTCTGTGTGGATGGGCATTTTTTCTGGGCAAGGAATGTATGGTTTTTATTAGGGTCTCAAAAATCTTCATGATCCCTCAAAGTTAATGGTCAATAGTCCAATCTACTGACCATTCTTTTCAGATGAAGAAACTAAGCCTGAAATGGGGTTCATCATCCAGGGTGACACTGTAAATTAGTGATAGGCCAGAATTTGGATCAATGTCTCCAAAGACATAATCCTATATATTCTACCACACTTCCTGTCTGTCCTGGTTTCAGGGTTAGCACTTGAGTGGTTGGTGGAGGTTTAAGGACATAGCTCCAAAAATACAGTGCATTGGTATCATTGGTCTTTGCCTCTCCCCACTCACCTTCATATAGGTCCTATCCTACATTGGAGCCCATTTATATAGTTTGACTTTCCAATACCTGATATCTGTTAAGACCCCATCATACCATTTTATTTACCTGAGGACGTGGTCACTGTAAGACTGTGAGGGTCTGTAGAAGCAAAGAGGTGGCTTTGGACAGTGGGGCAGGTCAGAGCAAACATTTCTCCTCAAGAAATATTTAACCTCTTCTGTCCTTGGATCAACCTAATATCTTCATCAGCCTTTGGTGTCCTTGATTATTTTTCAATTTACTTTTCTGTTGAGGTACAGCTTACACACAATAAGATATATAAACTCTAATTGTAGAGCTTGATGAATTTTTATATAAGCATACATCTGTATGACTACCACCTAGTATAGCACATTTGCAGCAGCCCAGAAGGTTCCCTTATGCTCTTTGCACTTAAATATAAACTTTTTCCTCACAAGCATCACCATTCTGACCTTTATTATGATAGATTTATTTTGTCAGTTCTTAAATATCCTATAAAGAGAATAATACAGCATGCACTCTTTTTTGTCTAGCCTCTGTGCTCAGTGTAATGTCTATGGGAGTCATCCACGTTAAGTATGGCAATAGCTCATTCTTTTCCATTGCTGCATAGTATTCCATTCTATCAGTCTATCATGTTTTATTTATCCATTTTCCTGCTGCAGATCATTTGGGATCATTTCCAGCTTTTGGCAATTATGAAAAAAGCTACTGTGGACATTCTTATACAGGTGGAGAAGGAGAGTTATAGATCAGAGATGGGAGAGGGGAGAGAATAGTGTGGATGATTTCCCCTAAGGAATGGAATTGTTGGATCATTGTATAAACATATGTTTAGATTTAGTAAACACAGCCAAACTGTTTTCTAAAGTGTCTATCCCAAACTCCCCTGATTTTAAAGTCAGCCAAACTTATCACTGAGGACTGAACTCTGATCCTTTTGTTTTTCTTGCTACAATTCTTTTCTAAGGTGCCTGGGAAATCATATCTAAGAAACCATAAAATCTTGTTAAATGGGTTTTTCTTCTGACCTGGCATATTATAGCTTACTCTCCAACCTGACTCTGGTATGGCATGGTGTAAGAGATGGCAGACCCCCTTTTCTAACTGAAGCATTCCTTTCTACTGACTCTAAGTCTTTAGACAAAGCCTAATTCTTTCAACTAATTGCCAACTAGAGAATCTCCTGACCCACCTATGGCTTGTAAGCCTCTGCTCCAAGATGTCCTGCCTTTTTGTCTGAGCCAATGTATGCTTTCCATGTATGTATTTAATATTTTACCTGTGATTCCTGTCTCTCTGAAATGTATAAAACCAAACTGTAACACAATTGCCTTGGGCACATTTTCTTAGGACCTCTTGAGATTGTGTTTCTCTGGGCCACAGTCACTCATTTTGGCTAGGAATAAACTTCAAATATGTTGGCAGGACTTGTTTTTTTCCCTCATCATCACCTACCTCAGACCTTTCCCAGATCCGTCTGCCTGTGTAATTGTCTGAATTCATCTCAATCCTAATTCCTGTATTAACCTCTTCCCTAACTTCAAATTCTCCCACCTTGGCTTTACTGGGTCATCAAAAGTTAAATCTAATGCCTGATCTAATGTGGAAGAGCCCAGAGTGAACACGTGGTTCAACTCAACATTTCAGAAATAGAGAAAATGAAGCCTGAGTGTGGGTAGGTGAAGAGATTGTCCAGTGATGCTGAAAAAGTTCTCAGCTGACCTGAGATGACACAGGATTGCAAACTCTTTGACAGCAGCAGGGGATATTTCTTATTCATCCTATCTTTTTCATCTTCCAAGCTTTGTAAAGCACTGATTATATGAAAATGCTTAAAGAATACTCGTCACAAGAAAAATGAACTGGAAAGATTCTTAGAGATGACGTAGTTTAGTGTTTGCCAAGTTGTGAAAACATGTAAGTCTGGCTTACAAAGATTTTAAGTGGTACCCTGTTAAATGACAGTGAGTCCCCTTTGATAAAGGTATTTCCTCTTCAATTCTCTTTTAATCATTGCAGTTAACTTGAGAAGAATGTCTCAATTTGGTTCTCTATGTCAACTCATTAACACTTGCCAATCTCTCCTCCTAGAAAAGGGAGAGTAAGACATTTAGCTGGATTTTCATGATGCTTTGTTTTTGTTGCACTTTTTCTTTGCCTTTTACAGTACTTATCTTCTTTTAGAGAATGTAATAAAAGTTTTTTATTTATGGCTGTGGTAGAAAGATTTCTTTTTTTCAAATATATTTATTTAAGCGTAGGCAAAAACAAGTGGTTTCACTTGAAGAAAAGGGCGAAAAATGGGGTATGCGTATGTGGCAAATAATCATGAAGGTGGTCAAGAATGACTGACAGTTGATTAACATTCATCTAATTAAAACTTGTTTTTGATTAGGTGGGGAAACAGAGCCCAGGGAGAAGGGACTTGAGTGGCCCTTGGAGTTTTCTGCAAGGACCCTCAGTATAGTGCTCATTACGTACAAATCCAGTCATGGTACATATTACTTTGGGAAGGAAAGAGAGCTATAGCCTTAGGCTCCCCATTTATGGTAAAGGAGACTGAGAGATTATCTGGGGCATTTTAGAAGCTCTTCCACTGAATACACTTGTCTTTCCATAGACGCTTCTGTAGGCAGTTTGCTGTCTTGCCCAGAAGAGTGATTTGGTGGGAGAGTAGTGTTCCAACGACACTGTTGCGGTCATTGTGTAACTCGTGTGGCCCCTTCTCTCCTCTGTCCTAAGATAGGTATTGTCAAATGGCTCCTTCTCCAGTGCAGCTCCGCTTACAATAAACACCTTAGATGCTCCTGCTGTCAAATTGGTTCTCCTTCCTTAGCCTTAGAGCCCCACAGCCAATTTCCCTTTTCTGTTTTATCTTCAATAATTTTCCTGAACTGTCTCATATTCTAGCCACACTGAAACACACATCTTCCTTGTTTTCTTGTGCATTCCTTTTCAGTGTTCCCTGTTTCTGGAATGTTCCTTCTTCATCTCTGATCATCCACTTCCTACTGAGCACCTTTGACTACCCTCATCCAAAGGGCTCACTCTTTCAAGAACCCTTTTATGATTCTTGTAACTAGAGGCGATCTCTTTTTCTTTTACTGTAAACAGGATCCACATTTTGCTGAATACCCTACTAAATGTAATTTGCAAAGTCCTGTTCAAGTGGATTATTTAATTTAATTATGATAATAAACCTCTGAGCTAGGTACTATTACTAAGGCTATCATTTTATAGTTGAGGAAACTGAGGCACAGAGAGGTTAAGTAACTTGCCAAGGGTCACACTGTTGACAAGCGGCAGAGCCAGGGTTTAGAAAAAGGTCTTTTCTAGTTCATAGTTCCCACTCTTGATTGGCACACTATCCTGACCACCCTTGCTGCCTGCAGCTTTCTGTATTACAGTAGGTTAAATGAATTATGGGGAGTTCTTTGTTCAGCTCTTCCTGAGATTCTGCAGTAGCCAGACACATGTCTGAAGTGTGAAGATAGAGATAGTAAATGGCTTTTTTCTTACTGTCAGTGGTTTGGAAAGCTGAATCTGGCAAAGATATCTGCCTTGTACCAACCTGGGTTGTCCACAGAGTCATAGCACCAGCAGCTGTGGAGTCATGGTAAGAAAGCTGGGCCAGGGGGGTACACCAGAGTGCATTCTTTCTACTTTGATGCAGGGAGACTTCCCAGCTCACAGGAGGAGGAGTTCCAGCTTCAAGGAGAGCAAGAACTTGGCACCTGTCCCTGGGCTGCTGCAGCAGTAGCCTTGCACAGGCTCCTCCTGCCCAGGGACGCCATAAATCGCTGGGCCACGGACTTGACAGCCAGCTGCGATGTGATCAGAAAGCCAACAGGAGCCACTGCAGAACCTTTGGTGGCTGCTTCCTTCATGGGCCTCTCATCCATCATACTAGATGGAAAAGCCACTGGGATAGTCACCTTCTTTCCCAGTGGGGATTCAGGGGTGAGACAGTCAAGTCCCATGTAGGCAGAGTGCATTAACTCTTTCAAAACAGCAATCCTTCATCTCAACAGAGCCCTTTCACATTTTCCTCATGATTTCACGGCATTATCTTACTTAACTTCTTCCCATTCCTTCATCCATTTATTGAAAAAGTAACTCATACACCACTACCAGGCAAGAGGCATCACTTCCTAATAGCTTTTAAAAGATGAGAGAAAAGAAATGGTCCCATTTTACCGATGAGGGAACGGAGGGAGGAAGCCATGGAAAGCACACCAGCGCAGTAGGCAAGAGCTTTACATTTTAGTTCTGGGATTGCTATTACTATTAGAGGAAAGCTGGGAAAATCATTTTCTTTCTCTGAGACAGAGTTTATTCACTGCTTTTCATAAGTTATCTGTCCTTAGAGTTCATTATTTTTTTAAAAATGAAAGTTATACTTGCATATGATTAGAATTTAAACCTTCTAAAAGGTATAAAATCAAGCAAAGCTCTGTCTGACCTTTCCTCTTGAGCCCTAGTTTCTTTCTCGAAAGATGACAATTCTACCTTTCTAAAAAAAAAATGTGTGTGTGTGTGTAAAACAAATGGGAATATACTGTGCTGAATCTTGCCTTTTTTTTAAGCTAAACAGTCTATCTTAAAAATATTTCCATGTCAGCAAGATATATCTAAATCATTCTTTTTAAAGGTTACCCATAATTACATTGTAGAAATGTACAATAATTAATGATTTTACCAGTTTGTCATTGATAGACACTTAGGTTGTTTTATTATTTTCTCTTATTGTTGCTTTATAAAAAAATGCTGCAGTGAATTTCCTTGTACATTTATCTTGGCATACTTTTGGGTAAATTCCGAGCAAAGAAACTGCTGAGTCAAAAGGAAAGTGAATTTTAATTTTTGATAGCTATTGCTATATTGTCTTCCAAAGTTTGCCTTGATTAGCATTCCAATGAATAGTGTAGGAGAGTGCTTGTTTTCTCACAACTCACCTTTTTTTTTTTTGGTGATTCTTTTTTTTGGCCAATCTTATAAAACCTTATTTTAAATTAAATAGAGCCCTATTATGTTTAAATCTTACTTTCAATTTGATTTATTTTTACTATCTTCTGAGCTGTTATATATGTTCTATTTCTGATGTTTGGTTTGTTTTCTTTCGTCTATTAGATGTGAGGTTAGGAAAACATAATTGTTTGAATGTAAAATAATGAAGATATATCTTATTTAAAAAAATCTAACTGTAAGAAGAAAGGTAGGTCCACATCTGTGAAATTCTCAGTTAGCCAAAGCTGTGATAACTAAGAGCTGCAAGGGAGGAAGGGAGAGGGCAGTGTCAGGGAGTCAGGGAAAATTGTTAAGAGTAAGTTCCTAGGGTGCTGAAGTATTCTGCAAGGGCTTGGCATATACTGGTCCTAGTCTTCTGATTATAAACTTCTGGCAGCAGTTTGCAGGTCTCCTTCCATGATGCTTGTTCTTATAAAACTCAGTCAAAAATGGTAGATGGAAGCCCAGTTGCTGCACGGCCTGCTTGGGCAGACTTGGCATATTGGCAGGGTAGGACAAACAAAAACTTTGTAAGTTTGTGAAATGTTAAAAGAGCTAATACTTACACCTGTCAATGCCGCTAACTCCCTGGGTGATCCTGGGCAAGTCTGTTCACCCCTTTGGGTCTCAGATACTTTATCTGTAAAATGTAATTAGGGATTGGACGAGGTAAGTTCTCATTATTGAAGTGTGACCCACTAATGGACCACAAGATTTTTCTTTTTACTTTTAGTATAGTTCTTATATTTTGTCAAAAGTTAGAGAGTCAAATAATTGTCAATATTTATATCAAAACATCCTATTATACCTAATAATTTTACATTTTTAGATTAAAAAGTTATCTATAAGTAATATGCATATAGGGCCTCTGTGATTTTTTTCAGTTTAGCTTTTGATATCTCGCTATAAAAGATAAGAAGTCAGTAGTCTTTCATCAAAAAGCTCCTCCCTTAATTCACACAAATACACTTTCCATTCTTCTATCTTCCTATGCAGTTACTGCATATTCTGTTGCATGAATAGGATATGTTTATGTTATGTAAATGCTATTCTTTGCTGAGCCATCTAGAGTGCCATGATTATTTTTCCTTTCCTCCCTTTTTGTTTTCTGTGAAGTTAATAATTATCTTTTTGTTTTATTTGTTTAGATTTTTAAAATGTAATTTTCCAAAATTTGTCCCCAATGGCCGTAATCCCCCTCGTGTGTGTCAATCTCCTCTCATTACATTCAGACATGTTAGGTATTCTGTCAAGTACATATTCTTGGAGATATCACTCTCAGGAACCCACTTTAATCTGCATTTGTTGCTATATCTGCATTTGTTGCATTTGTTGCTGAGTTTGCTGTACCACTTTCATTCTGGGGTCTCCCTTTTTCTTCATCCTGAGGAATTTCTTCTCATTTTTCCTGAATTGAATCTTGTTTTCCTCATCCTTGTTTTACTTCTTTATTGTAGTAAAGCACTTCTTTCAGTAGTTTTCTTAGAAGGAATGCACAGGATAAAAATTTTAAAGTAATTTGCATAGCTGAAGATATCTTCAGTTTGTCTCTACATTTAACTGTTTTTTTTTTTGATTGGGTATAGAATTCTGGGTTAGAAGTTATTTTTCCTTAGAATTTTGAAGGCATAATTGCATTTTCTTCAAGCTTCTAGTATTGCCATTAATAAGCCTGAAGCTTATCTGCTTATTGATCATTAGTATGTAATCTATTTATTTTCTTTTGTGGAATCTTCAAAACTTTTCTTTATTCCAGCATTCCAAAATTTTAATTGATGTGCGTTAGCTTAGCCCTGTTTTTAATCTCTTATTTTGGGCTTTTTAGTGGGTTTTCCATCTGGAAATCAGGTTCTTTGGTTATGGAAAATTCTTTTGAATTATTTCTTTGATAATTTTTTTTTCACCATTTTCTCTTCTCTCTCTCATTAGAACCCCCATTATACAGATATTGGGTTTTCTGGGTGGATTCTCTATCTTTTTCATATTTTCTTATCTATTGCCCGCTTTTTGTTTTTTGTCTTTTTGCTCTTATGTTTGGGAGATGTCTTCAACTTCCTCCTTCAACCCTTTGCTTAGCTTTATTTTAATCCTATCAAATCTTTAACTTTGAAGCATTCCTTCATGTTTTCAATTACTCCTTTAATGGCTTTATATTTTTACTTTATAGATACAATATCTCTTCTCCTGTCTCTGAGAATATTCATGACAGTTTTTGTATTCTGAGGTTTTCATCTTCCTGCACGGTGTTTGTTTCACCAACTTGCTTTTTTTTCTATTTGTTTGTTTGCTATCTTGTGTGCCATTCATTTTAGGGTCTCTCCTCAGATATCTAGTCATCTTTGGTGCTCTGCTCATAGTTAAAGATGAGAACAAAAACTAATTGGAAGTTTTACGTACATGTGTGTTTCCATTTTAAGGTTATCAGATTGGACTATTTTATTTTATTTATTTATTTTCCTATTTTCTTTTTTTAAATGTTGGCTCCAATCCAGTAAGTTGACTTCACAACCTACTAATGGGTTATGACCTGAAGTTAGAAAACTATGGTATAGAAGATCTAGAGAGAGACCTTCGGTTACAAGTACATATAACGCAAGCTGGATACTTGGATACTGTTGTAGACTCTTCAGCCATCATCTTCCACATCCAACAGCTTTCTACATGTGTAGGCTCTGTCTCTTACATGCCTCTTGATTGACTTTCCTTCTCTGCATGTACTGTCTCTCCCTCCTCCCTGCCACATGGACCAAGCTGCCTGTCCTGGTTTCCTGCCTGCTGCTTAGCCCTCCTGTCCATCCTCCAAAGTGCAGCCAGTGATCGTTCTAAAAAATGCATTTGATGAAAAGTCTGTAATAGTCTTTACTTGTCTACATCCTACACACACACACACAAAAACAAAAACAAAAACAAAAAACCAATAAATGCATCTAATTCCTTAGCCTTGTCTGGCCTTGATTTCTCCTCCAGGGTCATTTCTCACTAATTCTGCATTTGTATCTCATGTTGAATCAATGTTGACTCATGCACAAGTCCTTGAATCTTTCATGCTCTTTCATATCTTGGGCCTTTGCTTTTGAAGATTTTTCTGCCTAGAATTCCCATTTGACCGAATACTGGGCTCATTCCAGGATCAGCTCAATCCTTTATTTTTCTTTTCTTTTTTAAAATTATACTTTAAGTTCTGGGATACATGTGTAGAATGTATAAGTTTGTTACATAGGTATACACATGCCATGGTGGTTTACTGCACCTATCAACCTGTCATCTACATTAGGTATTTCTCCTAATGCTATCCCTTCCCTAGCCCCCCACCCTGCAACAGGCCCAGGTGTGTCATGTTCCCCTCCCTGTGTCCATGTGTTCTCATTGTTCAACTCCCACTTATGAGTGAGAACATGCAGTGTTTGGTTTTCTGTTCCTGTGTTAGTTTGCTGAGAATGATGGTTTCCAGCTTCATCCATGTCCCTGCAAAGGACACGAACTCATCCTTTTTTATGGCTGCATAGGATTTCATGGTGTATATGTGCCATATTTTCTTTATCCAGTCTATCATTGATGGGCATTTGGGTTGGTTCCAAGTTTTTGCTATTGTGAATAGCGCTGTAGTAAACATATGTATGCATGTGTCTTTATAGTAGAATGATTTATAATCCTTTGGGTATATACTCAGTAATGGGATTGGTGAGTCAAATTATTTCTGGTTCTAGATCCTTGAGGAATCACCACACTGTCTTCCACAATGGTTGAACTAATTTACACTCCCACCAACAGAGGAAAAGTGCTCCTATTTCTCCACATCCTCTCCAGCATCTGTTGTTTCCTGACTTTTTAATCGCTCAGATTTATGAGAGAAGTCCTAATGTTGGCTTCTTTGAGTGTTTTGAGCTGGTTAGATTCTTCAGGTAAAATCTTGTCTGAAGGATTTTGCTGTCATTGTTTTGGTAGTCCAATCAGAGAAAACAGGAGCCTCAGTAGTCAGGATATTACTACTCTCTTAGTGTCCTTGTTGCGTGTGTAATACCCTCCTCTTAAACTCTTCCCAATATCTTCCTATTCAGAGATCTTTGTTTTATTCATTCTTTTAGAATAAACTTTCAGTTTTCTGTCAAAGTTGATTAGGGGCAATTTTGCAACCATATAGATTAGAGGAAGACATCTGGAGGCCTAACTTTTCTCTTTCAAAACATTTTATTAAGAAAGGTTTTAAACATATATCAAAGTAGAGAGAAGAGTATAAACCCCAATTAAATACTTGTCAATATTTTGCCAGTTTCTGCTACTACCTAAATTTACTTGCAACCTATCCTGTTGTGTTCAGCTGTAACTTTGCTTCCTTCCAGAGGTCCTGGTACCACCAATCTCTGAGTGTTTTTTCAGTGTAAACTGAGTGGCTTACTTGTTCATTTATTCATTTCTCCACCACCACCTTAGGATTCTGCTTTCTTGAGTCTACTAATGAATTTATCACTTTTCTTTTTGCTTTACAGCTTCCAGGCTATTATTGTTATTATCTTCTCTTTTGGTTTTGTTACCATATCGAAGTTTCAGTTTCTCCACAGATTGTACCTTTTCTGACACTGGAGATTTTTAATCCTGGGCCGATCTACTCTTTGATGGGCTGATCTTTTATATCTCATTTCAGTCTTCACATTCTCCTAGAAACTTTCCTTGACCTCCCCATTATGACTTCACGGTTTGTCCTGTACCCTCTCATTTTATCCCTTTCTTTATCCCACTACATCTCTGATCTCATTGTCTTGTAATTACTTGTCTCCTTCAAGAGACAGTAAGTTCTGGGAGGACAGGTATACATTCCCAGAACAAATTATACATATAGAAAAATATTATTAATTATATACCATGTGCCAGAAATAATTGTTTTTTCATTAACAACTTATGTAATCCTCAGAATAATTCTAGGATGTAGGCAATATCATTATCCTCAATTTATATCTGAGAAAACGGAGGCGCTGTTATTCAATTAGTTGCCTGAGTTCACAGCATCAGTAAGGAGAAGAGCTTGGAATGAAACCCAAGTTTTCCACTGCCAGATTCAGGCAGGTAATGGGTAGGGGTTTCAGATCCAGTTATAAAATAAATGAGCACATGAAGGCATGATTGAACTAACCAGGCAGGCCGAGGGCACTAAGGAGGTTAAGAGGCCTCATCTTACCACTTCACCAAGAGCACTTCCGTCTTCAGTCCTGCGGCATTGAATATTTCCAGTCTGTGACAAAAGGTTTGAAAGTCATTACTATTCAGAACTGCAGATGCTCATCTGTTGCCTCCCCTCTGGGCACCCAGAGAAGAGACCTTCAGAATCATAATGCAGTGGTCTCACAGAATCTGCCCAAATAGAGAGTTTGAGTTGAATTCTTGTCTGAATCCTATCCTCTCCAGAGCCTAACAGAGTGCCTGGAATTGAGGGTTCTCAGTATATGTTGCAATAAACCAGGCAACAAGTCAGATTAATCAAATGATCAATTATTTAATCACTGAATGCCAAGTTAGAAGGCATTTTAGCTCACTTCATACCTAAGCTTTAAGCGTTGAAAAAATTATAAGGTAAGACTTGATCTTTACCTTCCTGTCCTTTTTTAGTATCTGCTGTTTCTCATCCTGGTACTAGTCTCAAATGTCTAGTGTCCGAATGCCATCCATTTGTGTGTCCTGACCATTTCCTCAGGACCTCCCACCTGGAATACTTTCTTTGCATATCAATCAACTAATATTTGTATATTCAAAAAATGTCTATAGAGTGACAACTCAATGCTAGTTTAGTGGTAAGAAAAAAAAAGCTGTGGGCCTAAGGACTGTGGGCCTTAAATTCCTGTTGTGTGTTTTATCTTGGGCTTGGCTTTGTAAGGGTTACAAAAAGGTATGACGATATCTCTGTCCTCCAGGAATTTATAGTCTGGATGGGAAAGCAGAAAAAATACACAAATAATTAGTGTGCAGTTAAACTAAACTGTGAGAATCTTTGCATAATGCAGTGGGTTCTCTGAAAAGGGAAACAGCCATGTGGGTGAGGGTTGGGCATGTACTGCAGGAATGTGTGCACGAAGACTAAGAACGAGGAATCAAACACTGGAGGTTTCCTTTATAACTGTCGAAATTTTCCACTAGGAAGTCAAGATGTTGCCTACTTTGGTCACTATGTCACTAGTGCCTAGAATAACGCTCAATACATGGTTGTTGAATGAAGGCATGAATATTTTAGTGGGAAGGAAGAGCGGTAGATGGATGAGGCAGACCCAGAGTATGGGCTGGCTTTTCTCCCCTGAGGATATATGTTCTAATGCCCCAGGTATTAGTAAATTATCTCATAAACTAATCTAAAAAAATCCCTTCCTGTCATGACAGTCTCTGGTTTTGTGATTCTAATCCCTGTAGAAGTGCTAATAGTAGATAATGGCTTAATGTTGGATTCTCCCTAGAGCAATTTGCATTTTAACACTGGAATCCTAAAGATGCCTGCATTTCTAACCAGAGATTTTAAGTGCTGTGACAGAACCAGTAGGGGCTCAGGGATATTTGTGGGCTTCAAGGGATGAACCCCTGAGTTTTAGCTCATATGGCTTTCTCCGCTCTGCCTACCCATAAAGGTGGCTCATGAAGAATAATTTTGGCAGTCATTCTGTCACCCCAGGGAAACTAGGAATTTTGGAGATTCTTCCAGCTCCTTTTCCTGTCATTCCTTTGTCTCTGAATCAACCAATGGGCATCTCATACACTCAACTCTGTGGCATCTAAGTTATGTTCCTATAAATTATCTGCCAGCTCTGATTTTTAGTACTGATGGGCTTTCTAAGGCTGTGTCTCCTCTCTCTGCTGCCAAGTGAGTCCCCAGGCTTATAACAGAACGGTTGGGCAGGTGGTCCTTTGTGGGTATATATGTGAAAGAGTCCAGGCACACAGGGGATGCAGGGTGAGGAGAGAAAGATGGAAGGAGGTATGGGATATAACTGAATAAATAATAGCTAGAAGAAAAAATTTGAAATGTTTCTAACACAAAGAAATGATAAATGCTCAAGGCAATGGATATCCTAAATCCCCTGACTTGGTCATTACACATTCTATACCTGTGTAAAATGTCACATGTACCCCATAAATATATACAAATATGTATCAATAAAAAAGAAATGTATAAATAGATATATTAGTCAATCAGTTGATCATTTGATTGATGGCCAGGGCCTTGGACTCTACTGTATTAATACTCATTAATGTTTAAAATGACATTCCAGGCCTCAAAAGGTGTTTCAGAATAGGGTCCCCACTTGTATTAGTCAGTTTTCATACTGTTATAAAGAATACTACCTGAGACTGGGTAATTATAAAGGAAAGAAGTTTAATTTACTCCATGTTCTGCCCCCTTAACAGGAAGCATGTCTAGGGAGGCCTCAGGAAACTTATAAGCATGGCAGAAGGGTAAGCAAGCACCTTCTTCACGAGACAGTAGGAAAGAAAATGAAAAGCTCAGGGGAAACTGCCGTTTATAAAACCATCAGATCTTGTGAGAACTAACTCACTATTACAAGAACAGCATGGGGTAAACTGCCCTTATGATTCAATCACCTCCCACCAGGACTCTCCCTGAACACCTGGGGATTACATTTCAAGATGAGATTTGGGTAGGGATACAAAGCCTAACCATATCTGTCTGCCTGACCCCTCCCAAATCTCATGTCTTTTTCACATTTCAAAACCAATCATGCCTTCCCAACAGTCCCCCAAAATCTTAATTTATTCTAACATTAACCCAAAAGTCCAAGTGCAATGTCTCATTTGAAATGAGGCAAGTCCCTTCCAACTATGATCCTGTAAAATCAAAAACAAGTTAATTACTTCCAAGATACAATGGGGGTATGGGCCCTTGATAAATGCCTCCATTCCAAGTGGGAAAAATTGGCCAAAAACAAAGGGGCTAGAGGCCACATGCGAGTCCTAAATCTAGTGGGGCAGTCATTAAATCTTAAAGCTCCAAAATAATCTCCTGTGACTCCATGTCTTATATCCAGGGCATGCCGATGCAAGGGGTGGGCCCCCATGGCCTTAGGCAGCTCCTTCATGGACTGGTGTTGAGTGCCTATGGCTTTTCCAGGTGCACAGTGCAAACTGTTGGTGGGTCTACCATTCTGGTGTCTGGAGTATGGTGGTGGCTCTCTTCTCACAGCTCCACCAGGCAGTGCCCCCAGTGGGGTCTCTGTGTGGGGGCTCCAACCCCACATTTCCCCTTTGCACTGCCCTAGCAGAGGTTCTTCATGAGGGCTCTGCCCCTGCAGCAGACTTCTGCCTGGACATCCAGGCATTTCCATACATCCTCTGAATATAGAGGAAGAGGTTCTCAAACCTCAATTCTTGACTTCTGTGCACTAGCAGGCCCAATACCACATGGAAGCTGCCAAGGCTTGGGGTTTGCACCCTCTGAAGGAACGGCCCGAGCTGTACCTTGGCTGCTTTTAGCCACAACTAGAGCTGAAGTGGCTGGGACACAGGGCACCATGTCTCAAGGCTCACAGAGGGCCCCTGGGTGGGGCCCACGAAACTATATTTCCTCGTAGGCCTCCAAGCCTGTGATGGGAGAGGCTACCACAAAGATCTCTGTCATGCTCTGGAGACATTTTTCTCATTGTCTTGGCAATTAAAATTTGGCTCCCTCCTTGTTACTTATGCAAATTTCTATAGCCAGCTTGAATTCCTCCCCAGAAAAAGGGTTTTCATTTTCTATTGCATTGTCAGGCTGCAAATTTTCCAAACTTTTAATATCTGGTTCTCTTTTAAACATAAGCTCCACTTTCAAACCATCTCTTTGTGAATGCATAAAACTGAATGCTTTCAGAATAATCCAGGTCACATCTTGAATGCTTTGCTGCTTAGAAATGTCTTACTCCAGATTCCCTAAATCATCTCTCTCAAGTTCAAAGTTTCACAGATTTCTAGGGCAGGGGCAAAATGCTGCCAGTATCTTTGCTAAAGCATAGCATGAGTGACCTTTATTTCAGTTCCCAATAAGTTCCTCATCTCCATCTGAGACCACCTCAGCCTGGACTTCATTGTTCATATCACTATCAACACTTTGGTCAAAGCCATTCAACAAGTCTCTAAGAACCTCTAAACTTTTCCACATCTTTCTGTCTTCTTCTGAGCTCTCCAAAGTGTTTCAACCTCTGCCTGTTACCCAGTTCCAAAGTTACTTCTACATTTTCAAGTTCTCTTTATAGCAGTGCCCCACTACCTTGGTACCAGTTTACAGTATTAGTCTGTTTTCACACTGCTGTAAAGACATCTGAGACTGGGAAATTTATAAAGGAAAGAGATTTAATTGACTCACAGTTCTACATGGCTGGGGAGGCCTCAGGAAACACATTCATGGCAGAAGAAGAAGCAGGCACCTTCTTCACAAGGTGGCAGAAGAGAGAAGAGAAAAGCCCAGGGGAAACTACCATTTATAAAACCAACGTATCTCATGAGAACTCCCTCACTATCATGAGAACAGCATGGGGGAAACCATCCACATGATCCAGTCTCCTCCCACCAGGTCTTTCCCTCAACACCTGGGGAATCACATTCAAGATGAGATTGGGGTGGGGACACAGAGCCTAACTGTATCACCATTTTTCCTACCTTTGAGCTTCAATTCCCACTGTTTTTTCACTTGAAGTGCCCCCTGCCTGACCTCCATATTACCAAATCCCACATATTATGAGAGCCTATCTCATCAAGCCTTTCTTCTCCGTACTCCACCTTATTTGAGTAGAGACCTGAATGAAAAGAGCCATCTATGCAAGGATCTGAAGGAAGAGGTTGTGTACAGAGAAAACAGACATGGAAAGATTTGTCTGGAACCTGTTAGGTGGGTTTCTAGACCAGCATAGACACCAGCCAATGTGTGATTCACCTTTTTATTGTCCTCAGTGATGATGAAATCGGTTTGAATGAATCGGTGTTACATTAATGTTTTGAGGGTTAGACCCCTGAATGGGAGGGGAGACATTTACTGGGTACTGTTAAAGCTCTCAATGTTTTACATACATTTTCTGTCTTATTCTCACTATAGATAGGTGTTTTTCCTATTTTAGAGATGGGATAGCTGAGGCACAATGGGGTTCAGTGAGTTGCTCAAGGCTACAGAGCCAGTATGTTTTGAGCTAGAGTCTCTCTAGTGGCAAAGCCAATGCACTTGCCCTTTATCACATTACTTCTGGGTTGCTTGCAAGTAGACAAGTTTCCTGACCCCTCAGCTTGCACAGACTCAGGACTCAGTCTGCTAATAGAATTTGTAAAATCCTTAGCTGCTTCTAGGAAATGTCCTCAGAAAATATGGAAGGTGTCAGTGAATGAATGCACAGCCCAGCTTTTGAGTCCTCTCTCCTAAGTCCCTACCCCAGCCTCTGTGCCTGCCCCTGATAGTCTTTGATGGAAGGAGAGAGGAAGAAAGAACACTTTACAAGGACTAATAAGACTTCGATCCATGCCACCTGCTTGCTTTTTCACTATTCTGAGCCACTGAAACTCTCCGGACCTCAATTTCCTATCTGCAAAATGGATGTCCTATGTAGTAATATAATAAAAATATGATAAAACATATTTTCATCCACAACAACAACTGCAACTGCCATTTATTGAGCCTTACTACGTGAATGTTACCTCATTAAACCTTATGACAGATTTATAAGTTAGGTATGAGCACTATCTACCCCTATCTAAGAGATAAAAAGAGTAACATTCAGGTCAAGTGACCTATTCATGGTCACTCAGGTATTAAATACTGACTCTTAGGATACAGAGTCAAATATTTACCACAGCCTATAAGGCCCAGCATGGATGCCCTTCCAACCAATGCCCTCCCAACCAATCCCTCACACTTCACTTCCTGCACCCCCACCAAACTGGCCTTCTCTTTATTCTCCAATATGCTGTGCTTCTTCCATTACTGGGTCTTTCCTGGAAGCAGCTTTTCTCTGTAGATGCATTGTTCCCCTCTCTCCAATAAGATGGTTGTTTTAAGCTATTAAGTTTTGGGGCAATTGATTGTGTGGAAATAGATAACTTTAATGAAATTATCCATTAACCAGTCTAGATCAGGCTCCTTTTTCCATGCTCCTATAGGGCTTAATTCCTTTTCTTCAGAGCACTTGTCTCAGTTGGCAATGATACACTCAGTGTAATTATATGATCATCTGTCTCCCTACTAGACTGGAAGCTTCATGAGAAAAAAACCATTGCTGTTTTTCTGGATTGTTCTATCATTTAGGAGTGAATGTAGCTGCAAGTAATAGATTTTACTAGCAGTGTCTTAAACCTATGCAGCTTGTTTCCCTCATGAGACATAAAATGTGAAGATGGCTGGCTGTTGGTATTAGTTTAAGGGCCCAGACACTCTCCCTTCCTTTTTGGCCATACTCAGTGTTTTGTATTTTCATCCTCATGCTTGTCCCCTCATTGTTGCAAGATTGATGCTTTGGCTCCAGGTATTATATTTTTATTCATCATCCCAACAAGCAGGAAATAAAAGGACAGAGAAAAAAACCTTTTTTCCCTCATGGATATGTTATTTTTCCAGAAAGAAAGTCTCCAACAGATTTTTATTTATATCTCATTGATCAGGACTGAGTCACATTACAGAAAAGAGTTAACATAGCTGGTGAAAGGCTATTCCCTTTAGAAGAACCTGCGTGTAAGATTGGCCCTTGGCTGGCATCCGAAAACTTGGTGTTTGACCCATTCCCAACAAATGAGGGTGGTTTCTGGCTCCTAAACTATACAAATAAGATGACTTATGCCAAACACTGCTTTCCTTCTGAGAATCTAGAATTTTGATATGTGCTAGGTACAGTGTGCTAATATGACTACTTCCCAATAAGAACCTTGGATTCTGAGTCTCAAATGGGCTTCCCTAGGCAGAAACATTGCACGTGTGGTACTGCATTTTTAGTTTTATTTTTTTTTTTTGCTGCTGGAATAAGGAACATGATGTGTCCCCTCACTAGGTGGTGACAGCATAATGAAGCCTGTGCATGGATTTCTCTAGATTACACCTTGTGTCTTTTCCCCTTGTGGATTCTACTGTGTACCCTTTGGCTATAATAAACTTGAGCCCTGGATGCTTCTAGTGAATAATCAAAGGTTTGCATAGTCTTTAAGACTCCACCTGGAACACGTGCTTTCTAGTAGACCCATAATAATCAAGGAAGACTGGGAGGGATACAATGACTGTCTTAGACTAGCACAATTCATCCCTTTGGCCTAGGGATAGGTTTGCTCCACCAACTGCACACACATTTTGGGTTCTGGGACTTGATTGGGAAGGGATTATGTATGTGTGCTGGAGAGTGACGTTAAAGCCTGGAATGGTCCCTGGCACATAAAAGGTGTGTAGTACACACATTGGGAAAGAAAGAAAAAGAATGAAGAGGGCAGAGCAAGATTTTGGCTCCAGGTGTCATTCTTTCCAAAGCTAGATCTTATCCCATGTGCCATATGCCACCCCCTTTGTGGTGTTTCCTCTGAGTGCTGTTGGGAGGATCATATAATAGGGCTTTTAAAAGGACCACACAGTATACACATGAGCAGCTTCTCTATCAGTCTACATGCAATGGCGCAAGGCAAATTTACTTTGTCTACTTGGAAAGTGGGTAAAATAGCATCTACTTCCATCCCATCTGGTGTTATGACTGGAGTCATATTTTGGACTCCAGTGAGTATTTTGGAAACACTTCTGAGTTGGTTTGGATGGGAATTTTTGTCTGTTTTCTTAAACAACCACTGCATCAAGCGAAAATATTTTCATTTTGAGAATTCTTGCTTTTGGTATCTTTGTATCCTAAATAAATGTTATTCATGAGGAAAATTTGGATCTTGTAGGCAGTGTTTCCTTTGTTGGTTGAGATGCTGGGGAAATTGCCCAGGACAGCGGGACATGAGGATAGGGTACTGTTCAACAGCCTAATGCTGACAGGAGAGTCAAGTGGGATCTTGCACAAAGTAGGACTGTCTGTGCATGAGAGCTAATGACAGTGCACTAGCAGGAAATACAACACACAGCACTCAGAGGACATTTACAGTGGCTTTTTCCTAAGTTTGTTGTGACCTCTGCCAAGAATAGTTATTTGGGGGGCTGTTTGTGAAAGAAAAGATGATATCATTTTGATTCATAGGCTGCCACTTTGAAGAGTGATCTTAGATTTAAGCCGGTCCAGGACCTTAATTTTACGGATAGGTAAACTAAGGCCCAGAGAAAGCAAGGGACTTGTCCAATGTCACAAAGGAAATTAATGTCAGAACTAGAATGAGAAACCGATCTGCTGACTCTCAACTACCAATGCTTTCCCTAGAGACTACCAATTGCAGAGTGGGTAGTAATAATATTTCTCTAAGATTTTGTAGGTTCTTATGACTTTTCAAGGCATTTTCAGAGGTAGATCTGTATTTTAATTGTCAGGAAACTGAAGTATAGTGTGCTAAAGGGAGTTACTAGGATTTGAGCTCAGTTCTTTAACTAACAATTTTTGCTTTTTACACTACTCTGGACGGTGGAATTTTAGCAATTATAACAACAATTACTATGACTGCTACTCCCAGAAGGCTTTTGGCTACAATTAACAGAAAACCCACTAAAAGTAGTTTAAGTACCAGGGATTGATTTTTTTCATCAAGCAACAGCAAGTGATCTGGGCAGCTTCAGGGTGGAAGAATTTGGCAGCTTAATGACATCATCACAGATGTTAGTTCCTTCTGTCCTTTTGTTCTGCCATACTGTCAGCAGGGTCTTCCTTTACGGTCACAGGATGCTTTAAATTAGCATGATGATCCTAATGACCAAGAGGCTTGTGGGTGTCTTATTTACCAATCACGGAAAACTTTCCAGGCAGTTACCCAGAAATACTCTTCTCAGGTCTCAATGGCCAGGATTGGGTCACATGTTCATTCTTAAGCAATCACTGGTAAACAGAAAAGACTAACATTGCATATGGACCGACCAGGATTCATTCCCTGAGACAGGGTGATAGGGTCAACTGCTGCAGAAAAGTAACATGCCCAAGTTTACACAGCTGGAAAATGATAAGGAAAGGAATGAAACCCAGATCCACCTGACTTCACAAGCAATGTTCTTAACCACTGCACATAACCACCTCCCATTCTTGTGCTCATGCTCTCTCTCTTCTCCCCATCCTTTCCCCTCTGCAGTATCATTTGCCAAATTCCCAGCCTGCATACCTAAGTGGCTTTGGCTGGTGATTGCAGGATCGTCTCCTTGCCAGGTCAATGTCAGCAATCAATCCCCATCTCCTGGGCGTGAAAACCAGCCGATTAGAGCTGTAAGTAGGTGTTTAACAACACGGAGGCAGCCAGAGCATCAGTCAGCAATTTTTTCCCCTGGCGGCTGGGCGTTAGCAAATATGCTGAGAGAGGCACCCCTGTTCCATTGCTGCTGGGAGGAGGGAGTCTCACCATAAAAGATGATTTGAAAAAAAAAGAATGACAGGATGTGAGAGATAAAAGGACCCCTAGGCATGGCCTAGTCCAGCTCCATCCTTGTATTGATGAAGAAACTAGGGTCCAGAGTAGGGAGGAGATTGTTTGGGGGTCACACAGAAAATAATAGTTGGATTCAGAACTCAAGATCAGAGCCTGGACTAATCCAATGCTATTTCCAAGACTTTTCAAAGCCCAACCCTCTATTCTATCGCTTTGTAATTTCCACACATGAAATCAGTTTCTTAGTGAAATGACATCTGAAAAAACAAAGGCATTTTGGACTCTATTGTCTAATCTCGGGTGCCTCCTGGCAATTTTCGGAGAGAAGTTGCCACTAACATGGGTTAACTGCTCCAGAGAAAGTCCTGTCAGGTCCTTAGCTGCAGACAGGGCAGCTACCTGTAGCAAATTCCCATTCCTATCCAACTTCCTTCTTCCTCTGCAGCCACATTAGTCTTTCTGGTTTGATCAGTCAGAACAAGTCCTGGTGAACTGGAAAAATCTAAAGGTATGTGAACCTTGGAGCCCCACAGTCTAAAAGAGAATGTTCTCAACTTGAGAAGAAAAAGTTAATAAGCAGGTCAGAGTGCAAGGATTCCTCCTGACATCTTAAGATGACTTGAGATCCCCATATTTCTAATAAATCATATGTATATGGGTTTGGGGAAAACATAAGAATTTAAACGGCATTTACTAAATGCTAACAAGAGTGATAATAGCAGCAGTTGCTATTTTGACCCTTACTCTGTGACAAGCACTGTGCCCAGCCCTTCACGTGCATTTTTTTCTTTAGTCTTCACAATACATGACACTTCTTATGTCTATTTGTTTATTTTTCGCCTTCCAAGATTAGAAAGTCTGCTTCACAGTCATGGGAACCTTTTTTTTTTTCTTAATACAATATCCCCAACTGCCAGAACAGTATCTGCCACATAGTAGATGCTCAGTTAATATAAACTGAATTCATGAAGGGACAGTAGGCTGATGACGTACGTATGGTTGTTCTTCATTTTATAGGTATGACAACTGAGGGTTAGAGACACTAATTTGTCCAAGGTAACTCCATCGGTTTTTTTTTTGGCTGCAATTAATAGAAAACAAACTAATGTTGGTTTAAACAAATACGTGTTTTTTTTTTTTTTCTGCAACAAGTATTCTGGTGGTACTGTTGATGAGGATTCCACTTCAATGATGCCATTAAGGACCCAAGTTTTATCATTCTGCTGTGATTCCTTCTGCCATCCTCAGTCTGTTGGCTTTTGAGTTTGTGCTTGTATACTCATGCTTACAAGATGGTTATGACCTGAAGTGTTTGCTTCAGGCAGCAAGTCTGTGTTCAGGGAAGAAGCAAGAGGACGGAGATAGCACTAATTACATGTATCTCTTTTATTACAAAAAGTGAAAGTCTTTCCAGAAACCTCAGGCTGATTTCCACTTAGATCTCATTGGCCAGACTTGTGTGACATGATTACCCCTAGCTGCAAGGGAGGCTGGGAAAAATGAGTACAACAGATCCTTGAACAGCATGGGGGTTAGGAGCCAACCCTTTGCACAGTAAAACTTCCACATATAGTTTTTTACTCCCCCAAAACTTAGCTACTAATAGCCTACTGTTGGCTGAAAGCCTTATGGATGACTAACACATACTTTGTGTGTTACATATATTATATACTGTATTTTTACAATAAAGGTAGAAAATAAAATGTTCTTAAGAAAATCAGAGAAAATATATTTTCTATTCATTAGGTGAAAGTAAGTAATCATAAAAGTCTTTATCCTCATCATCTTCATGTTGAGTAGGCTGAGGAGGAGGAGAAAGAGAGGAGTTGATCTCTCTTGGGGTGGCAAAGGTGGAAGAGGTGGAGGAGGTTGGGCACACTGGTGTAACTTTTATTGAAAAAAATCTATGTCTAAGTGGCTCTGCGCAGGGTAAACCTGTATTAAGGCTCAATTGTATTTGGCTTTCTCTGGCTTCATAGAGGAGGCAGGAAAGGGATGTAGGGATTAACAATAGGTTTAAGTTAGCCAACAAATATGTCTGCTACAGTCATGCAGGTAGTAGTGATAGAGCCAGGATTGGGACACAGGCTTGTTTGCTTCTAACATCTGTGCTCTTACCAACCAAAAATTAGCTGGCCTGACTTTTACTCCTAATCTCAATAGAAAATGATCAACATGGGAATGCTTGTTCTGTTCTGAGTCCTAGTTTCTTTATTTGCAAAATGAACAACTGGGTTAAATGAGGTCTGTACTCCCTGCCAGCTGTAAGATTGTGTAATTTTGTATCTCAGTCTGGCAAATGTCCACTTCTAAAAGTCTTATTTTTAACCAAATCAAAATCACCATTGCAGTAGAGTAATATATTTCCCAAGGTCCAAATGCATAACATGGAATTGATTTTTTTGGAGTTTGTTTTCATAGATGGTGGTGTGTATGTTTATGTGTGTCCCTTTGAGATATCTGATTTAGTTTGAGGTGGTGAATGGAGATTGATTTTTGTCTGTGGTGATCTGTAAAGCCCAATTGTTGTTGAGGTTCCTGCTTAAATACTTCTTCCGCCATCCTCTCCTGTTTTTTGCTCCCTTAACAGACCAGCCTGGTGGAGACCTTACGTTTCAGGGTTTGATTTGATTTTCTATTGCGTCTTGCTAGCAGTAATTCTCCTCGCAGGGCTGAGAATTACTGCTAATAAGAAGCAATAGAAAATTGCTTTTTGGGGGACATGAGTGCTGGTCCCATGTCTTTTACTAATCAGCTGTGGAAAACCGAAGAAGTCCTTCTACTTCTCTAGGTATCTGTTTTCTCATTCATAAAATGACCAGGTTAGATGAGATAGTCTATATGTTAGGATCCTCCTCCCAGCTCTGATGTTTACATATCTGCAATTGTAAGTGGACAAAGCAGATTCTAATTAATGAGCAGAAGAACACATTAGCCTTGTTTTCTTCATCTACTAAATGGTTATAAAGATTGAAAGACGAAATAGAAAATAGTAAATACGTGACAAAACTACTATTTTAAATACATATTCTTAAAATTCCAGGCTGGACATTTATTTATTTGTTTTGAAAATATACCATTGCATTAAGAAAATTCAGAGCAATGTGTTGGGAGTCTTAGCAAAACATGATACCTATTCCACATGTTGTGGAAATAGCATTGGGTGTTGAAGCAGACCAGTTTGGGTTACATCTTAACTTGGTCGTGTTATGGCTTTGTGACCTGGGTCATGCTGTTTATTCTCCAGGGTTCTTTTCTGCAAAATCAGGGTTAAATATATTGACATCAAAAGATTATTGTGACGGTAAAATAAGCAATTTATGAAAAGCATTCAGCACAATGGCTGGCACATGGTAAAGACTCAGTAGAAGCTGTTTTTTATCCTCCTTCCTTATTGATGCATCTAGAACCAAACAAAAGATTTGGCTATTTTCAGTTTTCCAGGTGAAAATTTTCTTCTCTGGTGGTAGAGCTGCTTTTGACTGGACTGGACATAAAGCCTCATGCATCTTAACTATATTGACCATCTGTAGTTTTGTTTTTTGAGATGGGGTAGAATGAGTGAATCTTTAGCAGCCATGACCCCTACCTTCTATTCTTTCCCTTAAGAGATCTGAGACATTAAGAACATAATTTAGTTCCTCTCTTCTTTAGTTTGCACATCGGCAAAATGTTGATGGTCATTTCAGGGGGCTTTTATTAGCCCTCTAATAATTTGAACATACTTGGCACTCTCTAGAACGTTGTAAAAATATCAGTTATCGGTTCTGTTATTAGTTCACCCAGCTATCTTTAAACTGGTCCCCTCTTTTTCAAATTCTCTCTGAACTTCAAGGTCAAAGTCATTCCACCTGCTAAGGGAAACCTCCCACCTCAACTCTTTAAGATCTCCCCCGACTCTGTTCATAGCCCTTGCTGCTTGGCTCACACTCCGTTGGTGATTGGAATAGCAGCCATATAGGGTTTTTTGTTGTGTGTATGCATGTTCAGTTATATGCAGTTTCATTATGTGCAGATTTGTGTCTTTGCTACCACATTCAAGACCCTGAATGAGGATCTCGTGTTGCCCTTTTATAGTCACACCCACTTCCTTTCACCTCTTCTCTGTCCCAACCCCTGTCAACCACTCATCTGTTATCCATTTCTAAATAGTTATCATTAAAAAATGTTATATGAATGGAATCTTATAATATGTTACCTTTTGGAACTGTTTTTTTTCTCACTGAACATAAATCCCTGGAGACTCATTCAAGTTCTCTGCATCAACAGATTGTTTCATTTTTATTACTGAATATGTACAGTCATCCACCACATAACATTTTGTTGAACAATGGACCACATATGCAATGGTGGTCCCATAAGATTATATTTGTGCATTTTTACTGTGCTTTTTCTTTAGTTATGTGTAATTACACAAATATTTACCACTGTTTTGCAATTGCCTACAGTATTCAGTACAGTAACATGCTGTACAGATTAGTAGCCTAGGAATAATAGGCTAAACCATAGAGACTAATTTGTAGTAGGCTATCCCATCTAGGTTTGTGTAGATACACTCTGATGTTTGGACAAAAACAACATCACCCAACAATGCATATCTCAGAATGGATACCCATCGTTAAGCGATGCATAACTGTATATATATGACTGTACCACAGTTTGTCTCACCATTTATCTGTTGAAGGACATCTGGACTGTTTCCAGTTTTTTATTATTATGAATAAAGCTGCTATGAGTATTTGTACACAGAATATTTGTGAGCATAAGTATTTAATTTTCTGTGATAAATGCCCAAGTGTGTGACTGCTGGTTTGTATGATAATTGCATTTAGTTTTAACAAAACACTGCCAAGCTCTTTTTTCACAATGGCTATACCATGTTATATTCCCACCAGCAATGTGTGAGTGATCTAGTCTCTCTGCATTTGTGCTGGCAGTTAGTGGCATTACTATTTTTTATTTAAGCCATTCTGATTGGTGTATAATGATATTCCATTATGTTTCTAATTTGCATTTCTCTGATGGCTAATGAACAACTTTTTATGTGCCTTTTTCATCTGTATATCCTCTTATTTGAAATGTCTGTTCATGTATTTTATCCATTTTCTAATTGGATTTTTTTTTACTACTGAATTTTGAGAGGTTCTGATATATTTTAGATACTAGTCCTTTATTGGATTTGTGGCTTGCAAATATTTTCTCCCAGACTGTAGGTTGTCTTTTCATCTTTTTCCCATGGGCTTTCATAGAGTGAGAGTTTTTAATTTTGATGAGATCCAATTTATCAATTTTTCCTTTAATGAATCATGCTTTTGAAGTCAAGTCTAATAGTTTTTTTCCTAGTTCTGGATCCAGAATATTTTCCTCCATGTATTTTCCCAAAAGTTTCATAGTTTTATATTTTATGTTGAGGTCCATGACCTATTTCAAGTTAATTTTTGTATATAATGTGTGATTTAGGTTTATTTATTTATTTATGCCTATTGATCTTCAATTATTCTAGCACCACTTGTTGAAGAAGATATGCTTCCTCCATTGAATTACTTTTGCACCTTTATAAAAAGTCAATTGTGTATATTTGTATGGTTCTATTTCTGGGTTTTCTCTTCTGTTTCACTGAGCTATGTGTCTATCCATCCACTAGTACCACACTGTCTTGACTACTATAATATATAATAAGTCTTAAAATCAGGTAGACTTACTCCTTTCACTTTATTCTTCTTTGTCAAGATTGCTTTAGCTATTCTAGGGACTGTGCCTTTCCACATGAATTTCAGAATAAGCTTGTCTATGTCTATAAAATCCTTTCTGAAGTTTAAGTAGTAATTGCATTAAGTCTATAGATCAATTTGGGGGAAGCAACATCTTTACCATGTTGAATATTTATTATGAGCAGCATATGCTCTGTATTTGATTAATAAGCATTGTGCAATTTTTAGCATACAAATGCTCTGTACAAGTTTTGTTGAGTTCATATCTGTTTTTTTTTTTTGGAGCAGTTGTAAATGGTACTATTTTGAATTTCATTTTCCACAAGTTCATTGTAGTATATAGAAATGAGATTAACTTTTGTTTTTTGGTCTTGTTTCCTGCAAACTTCCTGAACCCACTTAATGCTGAACAGTTCTAGGAATTATTTTTAATAGATACCCTGGGAGTTTTTATATAGATAATCATGTCATTTATAAATAGAGAAAATTTTATTTCTTTTCTATTTAATATGCCTTTTGTTTCTTTTTCTTGCCTTATTGCAATAGCTAGAAGTTCTAGCACTATACTGAGTGAGAGTGGATTTCCATGCCTTATTCCTGAGCTTTGTGGGGGAAGAATTCCATTTGTTACCTTTAAGTATGATGTTAGCAGAAAGTGGTCTCCATTTTTTAAAGACTACTGAATAACCTTACAATTCCATTGTAAGGTTGTACTATAATTGACTTTTCCAGTTCTTTATCAATGGGTTTTTGTTGCTTTCAATCTTTGACACAATAACACTTTTATGAATGTGCTCATACACCTGTCACTTTTCATATGTTTATGAATATATGGATAAGATAAATCCCTAGAATATGGCCCTCTTTTCTGTTCTGTCTAGACCCACTTCCTAGGTGATCTTTCTCTGTTTCGTGGTTTTAAATACCATACAATGACAACTCCAAAATATGTGTTCTCACTGTGATTTCTGCCCTGAATCCTCATCTGTGTATTCATTTTCTCACTTAATATCTCCATTTGGACATCTAACATGCTTTCAAGCTCAACATATCTAAAACTGAACTCCTAACTTGCCTGCATCCACCCCTCAAAACCTGTTTCTTTGAACCTGTCCCTATTTTAGTAAATAGCATTCTTCCCTTCCAGTGGCTCAGACCAAAAACCTTGTAGTCATCCCTGCTGCCTCTGTTTCTCCTACACATACCCAAACTTTCAGCAAATCTTGCCCTATGATCACTTATCCCCACTCCATGGCTACCACTCTGGTCCAACCACCCTTGTATCTTCCTTGGATTATTGCAGTTGTCTCCTTGTCTCCTCCTGTATTGCTTCCTTACAATCTGTTCCATACAAGAGCTCACACTGGTTCTCTAAGAACTAATTTCTAGGCTTAGACCTTCCCAATGGCATCCCATTTTCCACAGAGTAAAAATCAAAGTTCATACTCTGGCCTGGAGGGTTCTATATAATCTGACCTGTGATTCCTGTCTGCTCTGGATCCTGCAGCTCTTTGAGCTCCTGCTTTGCTTACTTTGCTCTGGTTATGTTGACCTCATTTATCTTCCTTAAAATGCAAGTACTCTATGATCTCAAAATACATACCATCCCCATGACTGGCATATTCTTTTCCCCAGGTGTACACATAGCTCATGTCCTCATTTCCTTCAGGCATTTGCTCAGTTTTTACTTGATCAGAGGGGCCTTCCCTGAATACCCTCATCCCACTTTGGAATTCTCCCTTCCCTTTAACCTGATTTGTTTTTCTGCATGTGACTTAGCATCACCTGAAATATTATGTATTCTCTTCTTTATCTGTTTATTGCAGGCCTTTTCCCCAATAGAATGTAAGCACTATGGGTGAGGCTTTGTTGGTTTTTTTAGGGGACTATTTTCAGCACCTCCAATAGTGCTCAATAAATATTTGTTGGATGAGTTAGTAAGTAAACTTCTGAGTCAAGTGGTATGTGCATTTAATGTGTGATAGATATTGCAAATTACTCTACACAAAGGTTGTACTAATACTATGCAAGTATTACCCTCCCACTGATAACATATGAGCACCCCTTTTTTTTGTACATATGCTGTTAATAGCTCATCTTGAGACTTTTAGTTTTGTACTATAACATTCAGAGACATGATGGATTCAACCTCCACACATTTACCAGACCCCCAGGACAAATCTCAGAAACATTCCATATGCTTCTGGTTGTTTTAACAATAAGAGAACTTAAATAACTGAGCTCTCAGGGTTTGCGTGTTCATATAATTTCACAGATAAGAAGAATCTGGCAGAGCGCTCATAGCTTCTGTGTTTTGTTTACATGGAAATGTGAACAGAGGTAACCTTATCTTTCTATTAGATTTTCTCTCAAATCCCAACTCAGAGAGCACAGGAGAACCCACTTCCTGGTGCCTTTTTTTTTTTTTTTTTTTTTTTTTTTTTAAAACAGTAACAGTTCTTTTTACCCAGCAAAGTGCCTCCTCCAAGGTCCGCGAACCATTGAGGGTTTTTGGGGGGTTTCAGGGCTGGGAGTAGAGAGAGCATGAGTGAAGATTGGACCACTCCCAGGACTAGACCAGAGAATAGGAGATTGCTGCTTACTGACTATTATATTCCTACTACTCGACCTCTAGTAGGTGGTAGGTATATAGTACTTGAGTATTAATTTAATATCTGACTGTTATTGATAAGAACAGTCCTGAATATTAGTATATTGCTTTACAATTCTTAAAGTGGCTTTCCGTGATTCCCAAACAGCACCCATCTCTTGAGCAGAGACCCAAGAGGGCAGGACAGGAAGAATGGAAGTGAGATTTGGCCCCGGTCATGTTTTCCAAAGTGAGTAACTTGGAATATCAATACGTTAAACAGGTTTCTTAGCAGCAGAAGATTTCTTAAAGCCTCTTCACAGATTCTAGGTTGCAAATGTGCTTTGTGAATAGCTAAGAGGAAATAAAGTGTGTGGTGTTTACCAACATATTTGAACCAGTCTTTTATTTTCTAAAGTGTATCATGGGCCTGGTATTCCAGGGAATAGGCTTTCAGGAAGACTGGGCATTTCTGTCCAGGGTAAGCACTTGAAGATAGTTGATCTCTTATTCCAGTCCTGACTCTTTTCTATGGTTTCATTTCAGAGTTTTCATCTTAAGAGAGAAAATTGACACTCTCCTTTAATTTTCGGGATAAAGCATATAGGACCATCCCTAGAAGGCCCCTGATTTATTTAGGCCATTTGGAGCAGTGAAACATCTCCACAAGGTCTGAGTTACTCAGTTCTATGGGTTGTTTGATCTTCTAATTAGCTGTCCTTCTTAATTCATTTTTCACTGGTTGGCACATCTGGCTAAGATGCATGTTTGGTAGAACCTATTCAGGTGAGATCAGCAGAAACAGGAAGGAGCTGAAAGTGGTTAATGAAACCCTGGGATCTTCACTTTACACTCATTTTCTTCTCATCTGATTTTCCTGTTCCAGGTGCTGACATCAGGAAAATAATAGAAGTTAACGCAGATATGGGGCTGCCACTGAGGAGAGAGAAGACTGAAAGAAGCATATAGATAAAAGGTAGATAGGTTCTGAGGACGAGGGCTAATTTTCAGCTGGCAGAATCAGGGGCTGCTTCAAGGAGGAGGCGGCCACTGATATAAACTATCAGTTTGGGAAGAGTTAAAATTGATAGTTGTTATTTAGGCAATTTGACCATTAAAATTTAAATGTACATATTCTACTGCATGATTCCATAGCAACTAGACTTCTAGGAATTATTATGTGAAAGTACTCACACAAGAATAAAAATGTGTATTTATCAATAGTGAATTATGATATATCCAAATAATAGAATATGGTGTCAACTTAAAAATAATGTCTTTTTGTGTACCAATGTGAAAATATGTTCATTATTTATTCAAGTAAAAAATCAGGCACCATATATTTTGTGTAGATACCATTTTTGTAAGGAAAGTTAAACACTTAATAGCTTGTAATATAAAAATGACAGAATATAGAGTTAAAACATAGATTAAGTTGCTAATAGATGTTATCTCAGAAGGGTGGGAAACTGAGAAAAATTTTATGCTCATATTTTTCTATAATATTCATTTTAAAAATTAGAGTCATATATTACCTTTATGGTTAGAAAGTAATGGTAAAATTTTTTTAAGTACTGTTTAGTTTGTGTGACAGATTGTCTTTTCTTAGTTCTTATGAGGCACATGGGAATTCCAGAACACAAAAGGAATATGTAATTTATTTCTCTTTTCTTTTTCGCTTTTCCTATTTCTTTTAGTCTTCACTTAACCTGCTTTTGCTCCTGTCCCTTCTTTGTGCTTTCCAATAGCAACCAACCTACCTTCCCTTGTCTGATGCCTGAGTTTGTTTCCCTATAATTCCCTCTTTATCTTTCTTATATAAATGCATTTATATAGACCATCCTAAGGTTTAAAAAGATTTCTCCATTGCAGTGGCCAATAGGCTGCTTGATGGGTGAACAGAAGGGAAAGGGATTTTGGTATACTCTGCTCTACAACTGCATCTCTTTTATGGCATGGTTGTCTATTTTCTTCCCGTCTGTAAAATGATAGAATTGAATTAAATAATCTCTAAGGATCTTTCCCAAGCTAATATTCTATGATGACTTTAAGAGGGTGTATTTATTTATGACTTTAAGGTTTTCTGGCTTTCTAACACTCTCATTGGCCAGAGGAGAAAAAACTTTGTAATACATTTCTTAAAAACATGCTGACAGTGAGGTAGCACGGAGAGTCAGGAAATTCAAAGTCTTGACTTTGCTTCGACCTCATTTTGTGGCCTTGGATCACTCACTCTACTTCCTTGGGTCTCAGTTCCTCAGCTTAATAGCGAGGGTGTCTATCTGTCTCCTTAATATAAGGAGGACTTTGGGCATGGGTGTGGGTATTGACCTGGCTTTCATCCTAAGGATGTGATAAGCATCAAATGGGCAAGCAGAGGTGAAAGCACTTTTGTCAGCCTAGAGCAGGGTTTCTTAATCTTGGCAATATTGTTATTTGGAGCCAGATAATTCTTTGTTGGAGGTTTTTCTTTGTATTGTAGGATGTTTAGCAGCATCCATAGCCTCTACTTATTGAATGCCAGCAAACTTACCCTATTCCCCCTGACTGTGACAACTAAAATTGTCTCTAGATATTGCCAAGTGTGCCCTGGAGTATACAATCAACTGTGGTTGAGAACTGCAGCTGTAGAGTGATATATAGAGACTTCAAGCATTGTTAATTATATAACTACTTTGAGAGGGAACAAATAAAAAGAAAAAAATCACAAAAGTGTAATTCCAGAAGGTGCCAGAGATGATGACTCCTGTGAGAAACAGAAGATAATAGTGAGTGGAGATAGTGCCAAATACAGCATCATTTCTGGGCAGTCATATTTCCTATGGGAACAATCTGTATCCTAAAGAAAGATGGAGAGATCAATCTTCTTGAGGGACCCTTCCCCCATGACCCAGGAGAGTAGGGTTTTATAGTTCTTGCCAACTCCTAGTTACAGATGCTAATGGGAGGGAGATCTCAAAGAAATATGAAGGATACAGCTTATTCAACAAGGTCAGAGATATATAGAATTTCACGGATGATAGGAAGCAGTCAGTCAACTCTCTCATTCAAGTGCTACACTGATCTGTCTAGTATTCTTTTTTTTCTTTATTTTTTATTTTTATTTTTTGAGATGGAGTCTCGCTCTGTCACCCAGGCTGGATTGCAATGTGTAATCTTGGCTCACTGCAACTTCTGCCTCCCAGGTTCAAGCGATTCTCCTGCCTCAGCCTCCTGAGTAGCTTGGATTACAGGTGCATACCACCACGCCCGGCAAATTGTTGTATTTTTGGAAGAGACAGGGTTTCACCATATTGGTCAGGCTGGTCTCGAGCTCCTGGCTTCATGATCTGCCTGCCTCAGCCTCCCAAAGTGCTGGGATTACAGGCATGAGTCACCGTGCCCTGCCTGTCTAGTGTTCTTAATTCTATTAGCTACTTGACCTTGAGCAAATTACTGATTTTCTCTGAGCATTTGTTTTTTCCTTTCCTTTTTGATCCCAGAAGATTATCTATCTCATTAATAACATAAAAATAGTTATGAACAAGACTAATCATCTTATCACCCAGAGTTCCATGTGCTTTATGTGTAGTACCTCATTTAGGCTTATAGCAGTCTCATACATCTTGATACAATCTTGTTTTATAGATGAAGAAACTAAGAATGAAAGAGGTCTTAAACCCAGCTCTCCCTGTCTCCAGAGCCCATGTTCTGGTCCACCACTCTAAATATCACTGCTTCACAGCAAAACCCTTAACATGCAACACAACATTCTTCATTACTGTTGGTTGCTTATCTCTCTTTCTCATCTTCTAGACTGAACAACTAGAACCCAAGGTTATGTCATATGCACTGTACGATTCTGAAGCCACCGTGCCTTAGGAATAAAAAAAAACTAATGGTGGAATTTTACACACTAGGACTCAGCAGGGCAGCAGGAGGGCAGGGAAAGAGCCTGGAATGAGACAGAAACATTGATCTTTTTAAGCAGCAAGTAACTAAAAGCTATTCATCGATTTATAAACTAGGATTAAGTGGAAACTGAGAAGTCATCTTTTTCCAGTGCTTTGAATTTTAATATAAGGAAAGGGAAGCATAGACAGGTTAGGTACTTGTTTATGCTCATACTGTGTTAGTTGCAGACCAGGGTTGAGACTGGACTCTGGCTTCCAGTTCAGTTTCCTGCCATTGTATCGGTGGGATGCCATGTAGTGTAATGGATTAGAGTATATCATCCGAAGTCCTGTGACCTGGGCTGTGAACTGAGATCAGAGAAAAGATACTTAACTTCTGTGACTTTCCTTTTCCTTACCTGTAAAAGGGAATAACAATAGTTCCTATCTCAAAAGGTTGTTGTGAAAATTAAATGAGATGCAGTGCAAAAAGTCTTAGCACAGATAAGGCACCTTACTACATGCCTATCATATAGTAAGGTCTCAACAAATGTTAGCTATTATTATTATTATTTAAAAAATATTTTTAGATTTCTGGCTAGATGTTTTTGTGTTTTTTTCTTAGAATGCAACATATGTTCTTTTAAAGCATTTTACATACAGTAAAATTTACTATTTTTTTGCATATAGTTCTAATGAGCTTTTGGCAAATACATGCAGTCACATAATCACCACCACAATCAAAATTCAGAACAGTTCCATCACCACAAGAAAGTACTACTTTTTTGCCCTTCTAGTCAACCCCACATCCACTCTCAGACTTGGAAACCACTGATCTATTTTCTATTCTTGTAATTTCGCCCTTTTGAGAATGTCATTTAAATGGAACCATATAATATGTAGCCTTTTGAGTCTGTCTTCTTTCACTGAGTATACCATGTGAAATTTATCCACATTGTTTTACATATATATGTGTTTATGTATATGTGTGTGTGTGTATCAGTATTTCTTTTCGTTTTATTGCTGAATAGTATTCTATGGTATAGATATATCACAGTTTGTTTATCCATTCAGCAGCTGAAGGATATTTGTGTTGTTTGCAGTATGGTGTGATTGTGAATAAAGCTTCCATAAACATGTACAAGGTTTTAGGTGACTATAAGTCATCATGTCACTTGGTGAATATCTAGGAGTATGATTGCTGTGTTGTGTGATAAATGTATGTTTATTTTATAAGGAACTGCCAAACTATTTTCCAAAGTGACTGTAACATTTTACAATTCTTTCCAAGATGTATAGGGATTATAATTTGTCCACTTTCTTGCTAGCACTTGGTATGGTCAATCTTTTAAATTCTGGCCATTCATAGAGGTGTGTAATGTTATCTCACTGGAGTGTTAATTTGAATTTTCCTGATGATTAATGTTGTGGAACATCTTTTTGCTTGCTTATTTGCCATTGATATATATTTGATGATGTATGTGTCCAAACCTTTTGCCCATTTTTTATTGGGCTATTCTTCTTAGTATCAAATTTTGAGAATTCTTTGTGTGCTCTGGATACAAGTCCTTTGTTAGATATGTATTTTGCTGATATTTTATCCCAGGTTGTGGTTTATCTTTTCACTCTCTGAACAGTGTTTTTGTGAAGTAGAACTTTTGAATTTTGGATTAGATTTGAATGAAATCCAATTTTCACCTTTTCTTTGATAGATCATGGTTAAGGTGCTGTGTCTAAGAAATCTTTGCCTAATCTAAGATTGTGGAGACTTTATCCTATGTTTTATCTTAGAAGTTTTATAGTTTTAATTTTAACATTTAGGTGGATAATACATTTTAACTCAATTTTTATAGGGGATGGGAAGGATGAGTTGAGGGTTTTTTGGCATATAGATATTCAGATATTATTTTTGTAGTGCTAGTCACAATGTAAACAACGCAATGCTATTACAATGGATGCTGCTGCTGTGGCTGATATATCACTCATCAGTATCTTAGGGGGATTGATGGTTTCTACTACCATAGTTGTGATTATAATTATGATTATCCATCTGTTTGTCCATCATCTTTTCTCTCAACAAATGATGTCTACTGTGTAACAGTCACTGTACTAGGTGAAGAATTATCAATATTATTGACTATGTCCTGAAACATCCCAGGCTAATTAAGAAGGGTAATTACAGAGGGGCACAAATTTATAATGATGATAATCCAGGTGCAATGTCTATTTGTCAGTCTGATGAGAAGTTAATTTTTTGGGTATGAGATGGGAGGAAACATGAAACCTGACAAAGTCAATTGTTTTAATTTCATAGCTCACTTCAGATCTCAGGGACAAAATAAGCAGGTTTTAATTAAGCCCAAACCATCTCCAGGGACTTTGAAAGTGTCTTGTAAACAGTCTTGCTAGTGGATCACATACCCAGAGACAGATAGAATTCCAAGAAGAAATTGTTTACCTTCTTGCTTTTTCTCTCTTCTTAGTAATGCATTGTCTTGTCTATTTGAATATCTATAAATAAAACTTCCCCGAAGATAATTTTAAAAATGTACTTGACATCTTCAGGCCCATATCACATCAATTTCTTTCCCATGTATGGAGTGGTAGAAAGCATATGGGAATGAATCTGTGGTCCATCTCTTCCAGCAGGGAAACTATATGGTATATGTTTTTATTTCTCTTTACCACAGGTCCCTTATCTCTAATACATATAGTGCCATCCTTTCAGGTTTTACTAACTTCCAGAGTTATCTTAATTGGATATTAAAGAAATTAAGACAATGACTCTTTTGCCAGAATATCATGTTGCTTTCCAAATATGGTAGGTGAGATACTTCCCATTGCATTAATTCCTGCACCAACAGCACTTATGCAGTGAGTAGTCTCTATATGCCAGGCACTCCACTAGTCTTCAGAGATACAATGGTGAGTTCAAAACAGACATAAACCTTGTCAATATGGAGCTTATTGGTTAGTAGGGGAGTGAGACTAAAGCTGATAATCACAAACATAAATGTACAATTACAAACTATATTAAGTTGTAGGAAGTTATATGCTGACTGAGTCTCTAGATCATCTGACATATACCCAATATGTTTTATGAGTTGTCTCTTCTCTAAATAATTCTGTGGTTGGTTATAAAATAAGTGTATGTTTATTTTATAAGGAACTGTCAAACTGTTTTCCAAAGTGACTGTAACATTTTACAAGTGGGAAGGGAAGGGTTATTTCTCAACTAAGAATGAAGAATATTATCATCTTGTCTCAAAAGATTTGGGAAATATAATAAAGTAGCTTCAGTCACCCGTCTTGGGTATACCATGAAAAGTCAATGTCATTTTGCTACCAAAAACACTAATTTAGTAACTTAGAGAGCAAAGGTAATTTCTGTTTTCATTTCTGTGTTAAGACTTAAAGAGCAGGAGTTTTTTAAAGATATGCTGTCTTTAGAATTGATTCTCAAGCACTAGAATCTCCTAATGACTCAGAATCACCATCATGAGTAGTGATCTTTTGGTTTGTAGGATTCATTTGCTGGGAAGAACTATGTATCTCCACTCTGAATGTCCCTTGGCTGCAATTTCCTGAATTCTTATATTCACTTTTGTATGTGTTTCTGTTTTTTCCCTTGCTGTCATCTTTCAACCTTCCTGTTCTCAGCGTATTTGCCTGTAATAGCTCCTCTACTCCTTCTGATTTTTTATTTCTAATCTGCTATGGTTTGGGAAATAATAAAACCATGTTCATTAGAATTGTTTGCGAAATAAGAACAGGCTCTGGGAGAAAACAGAAATTCTTTCCCTTTTGCAAAGTGTATCAGCTTTATGCATGAAGGATTTTGTATGTTTGAATGTCTAATTTTAGGTAGTATTAGTAGTTTAGGTCATCAGAAAAGCATCTTTAAACAAATGAGGTGATTACTATAAACCAGAGAGTCTGGTAGCCAGTTAAAAACCTGTTACATTTGCATGATGCTTTTCACTTTTTACAGTGCTTTATTTTGCCTTTTAGCCTACTTCATCCTGTCTAAACCAGGGTGGGGAGAGATAAGATGCATATTATGAGGAAACTCAGACCTGGAGATGTGATTTCCCTCAAGCTGCTTGGCAAATTGTTGACATATTTATGGCCTGAATGCAGGACTCTTGACTCTTAGCCTGAAGATTTTAGGAGGACAGGAAAAAAGAATAGAACTCAAGAAGCTGACATTTCACCTTAAGCCATGTAGGTGAACTAGCAATGGAAATCTCAGGTGTTTGCGGGGAGAAAACATAGCTTCATTTGGGCCAGATCTGAGTTTCTAGATGTGCTTGAATCACTCATAAATGCACAGTGATCTTTTGGTTCCTTCAATATTTTAAAGTCTTATTTTCTGTGTCAGAGCAAATTCATTAGTGACTGCCATATATGGAAGTTGGTGAAATGTCAGAAAGAGGATAGAAAATTACAAAAAAAAAAAAAAAAGTGTTTCTTCATAGGTTATAATATTCAAATATTGCAATTTTCTGTTATTAATTGCTACTTTTGGATATTAGATGTTCTATTCTTTGTGGCTTGTAATTCAGAGCATCTAAGCTATTTTATATTTTGTAATGAAATTTATTTATAAATATATTAAATCATTAAATCAGATAACCTAAAAAAAAAAAAGAAAATGTGAATGAAAGTGAGAGCTTCAAAATTAGTTTGCCATATCTGATAAAGAGAAATGCAGCATGTCATGGTTTTGACATTAATTTTTTCCTTTCATTTATTTTTTATTTGTTCAACGGAAATTTTTTTGGTGACAGATACTACGCTCTGCTCTTAGGGTTTAAAGATCAAGAAAGCATGGCACTCAAGTTGCTTACAAACTAGGAAGGAGGGCTGATAAAAATGTCCTCAAATTAGATTGTTGAGATTGTTCTACAACTGTAAACACATGAAGATTCATTAAATTGTATGCTTAAAATTGGTGAATTTTATGGTATGTAAATTACAACAAAATTGTTTAAAAAGCCAATTAAAAAGCACAGTGATGAGAGCCACAATACGGGTAAATTCAGTGCTATGGGAATTTGAACACTACACCCAGATTCAGAGAGACAGAGCCTCTAGAAGGCCTCCAGAAGAAGTGATATATAATCAGAAACCTAAAGAATGCATAAGGGATACCGGGGAACAGAGTAGAGAAAGATTGAACTTGGCAACAAGAAGAACATGAGCAAACATCTGGAAGTGAGTGAGAACATGCCTGGTGTATATACTGTAAAAGGTAAATAGTTACAGAGCTGAGCATAGGAGGAAGAGTGACAAGAATTTAGTCTGGAGAGAGGTACAGTAGTTTAGCATTAGGACCTTACATATCATGAAGAGGAATTTGAAATTTATTTTAAAGGCCATTTGGAGCTATCAAAAATTTCAAGATATGAGAATGTCATGAATAAATTTGAACTTTGAAAGATCAGTCTGGCTGTAGTGAGGTCATTTGTTTAGGAAGAGAAAGCCCAGAAGGAGACCAGCAGTGCAGCTGATTCTATAAACTCACGGAGTGGATGTGAACTATGGAGATGAATTGAAGAAGACGGTAAAATTAGCCTGCCAAATTAAATGTGGGAGGTAGGGAAGTTAAAGATATTGAGGATAGGCCAGGCACAGTGGCTCACGCCTGTAATCCCAGCACTTTGGGAGGTTGAGGCAGGTGGATCACCTGAAGTCAGAAGTTCAAGACCAGCCTGGCCAACATGGCAAAACCCCATCTCTATAAAAATACAAAAATTAGTTGGGCGTGGTGGTGCACACATGTAATCCCAGGTACTCTGGAGGTTGAGGCAGGAGAATAGCTTGAATCTGGGAGACAGAGGTTGCAGTAAGACGCGATCATGCCACTGAACTCCAGCCTGGGCAACAGAGTGATACTCCATCCCCCCCTGCAAAAAAAAAATATATATATATACTCATACATATATTTATATATATTCATATATATATTTATATATGATAGTTCATATATAGATATATGATAGTTCATATATAGATATGTGATAGTTCATATATAGATATGTGATACTTCATATATAGATATGTGATAGTTCATAGATATATGATAGTTCATATACATATATGATAGTTCTTAGGTTTTGTATTTGGGCAACTATGTAGTTGAATGTGCAATTTGCTGAGAGAATGAATGCTGGGTATAGGTTAAACTTGGAAAAAAGAAATCACAAATTCAGCTTTGGGCATTTTAAAATTTAGGTGCTTTCAGGGCATTTAAAGTATACTAAGCAATTAGATAAATAAGCCTGATGTTCAAAAGAGAGAGATCAAGGCTGGAGATACAGACTTTGGTGGTGAGCAGCACATGTGTGATGATCAGAGTTATGTGACTGAATAAGGTTTCTCTGAAAAAGAAGAGGATTTGAAGCAAGAAGAAAAGTGGGCAGCAGTGAACGAGATAGACAGAGGCCTTTTCCTCAAGGAACTTACATTCTAGTGGGCAGAGATTAAACATGTAAATAAATAAGAAAATGACATAATCTGGGTACCAGTAAGCACTTTAAAGAAGATAAAGTTGGCCAGGCGTGGTGGCTCATGCCTGTAATCCCAGCACTTTGGGAGGCTGAGGTGGGTGGATCACGAGGTCAGGAGTTTGAGACCAGCCTGACCAACATGGGGAAACCCCATCTCTACTAAAAATACAAAAATTAGCTGGGTGTGGTGGCACATACCTGTAATCCCAGCTACTCAGGAGTCTGAGGCAGGAGAATCGCTTGAACCCGGGAGGCGGAGGTTGCAGTGAGCCGAGATCGTGCCACTGCATTCCAGCCTGGGTGACAGAGCGAGACTCCATCTCAAAAAAAAAAAAAAAAGAAGATAAAGTCAGTAAAAAGGAGAGAAGCTACTTTAACTAAGGTGGTCAGGGAAGGTGATGTCTGTTAGGTTAAAACCCTAGTGGACATCAAAATTCAATGGAAGAGTGGAGGAAGAGGAGACTTAGAAGGAGATTTAGAAGAAATTGCTGGACGAGTGTGAGGACTATAAGGGATTATAATTATATGGAACTAAAACAAAAAAGCACCATTTCAAGGATGATTAAGTGTTCAGTGTTGTGGAGATATTAAGAACAGATCATAGAAATGGAATAAAACTTGGCCCTTGGATTTAATGACAAAGAGGCTATTGGTGTCCTTGGTAAGAGTAGTTTTAATGGAATAATAGAACACTGTATGACAATGGGATGAAGAATGCACAAGAGAATGGGAGCTGAGAGAAAGAAGATAGCTAGTGTAGTCACATGTTTTAGAAACTTGGCTCTGAAGAAGAAGGGAAAAGTAAGATGTCAACTGATATGTGAAAATAGGATCTTTTCTTTGTTTTTTTTTTTTAAAAAAGATCAGATAGATTTTCGTATGCCTAAATACTGCAGGAATGGATCCAGGAGAGAAGCAAGGGTTGCTAATATGAGAAAGAGGAGTTAAAAGGTGCAGGAGACAAAGTAGTCCTAGGCTTCCATCATCTTTATGGCAGGTTATGTGCTCTGAGTGAACATCAAGGGAGTGATGGAGTGGGTGATTAGTGAGGTCAAAAGAGGGTTGGAACATCTACTGTGTTAAATGTGAAAGAGCATTAAACAGGGAGCCACTGGAGAATTGCCAGGCAGCACTAGAGGTGATAGATTTGTAGTGATGCTAGATTGGATTTTTTTTTTCCAGTACACAAAGCTGCCCTGATGTAGAGAAAAGAAGTCTGAATGTTGAGTTAACTCAGGATTGAGGCTTTGGATGGGCAAAGGTAATTCAGAACCTTGACTGAAAATCAAGGATTAAATGAAGAATCAGCCTCACTTGGATGTATATGTAAGAAAATATAGGAAGAGACTGCCAGAGGGGATTCCAGGGCCAGATCTTTCAATAAAGAAGAGGAATAAGATATACTGGGCAAAACAGTTATGAGAGGTAGAAGTACATGGCTCAAGAAGTAGAGATAGAAGTCACTGAAGTTCAGGAGGTAGACACATGGAGAGGCCAGGGTGTTGAAATTAAGCCCAAGCTCTTACCCTTTCTAGCCGTGTTGTCTGAAGCAAGGCAGTCTATCAACAAATATTTCTCGATTGCCTATTTAGTGCCAGGTAATGTGGACAATAGTGAGCAAGACAGACAGAGGCCTTGTCATCAAGAAGCTTACATTCTAGTGGGCAGAGATTAAACATGTAAACAAATGAATAAATGAGATAATCCAGGTACCAATAAGCACTTTAAAGAAGATAATGTCAGTAAAAAGGGGAGAGGCTACTTTAGCTAAGGTGGTCAGGGAAGGCCTTTCTGAAGGGAGGATGCTGTTCAGCCTGAGCAATGGGAGGTGGTAGTCATGCAAAGAACTGTTGGGGAGAATACACCAAGCAGAAGCAAGTGCAAAAGATCTATCACAGGGGCAAGATTAGTGTGTTCAAGTGGCAGAAAGACCAGCACAGTTGAAATGTAGGGAATGAGAGGGAGAGTGTTGGATTTGATGTCAGAGATAGGTGGGTTGGATGATTTAGGACCTTCACTGGTCATTCAAGGATCTTAGGTTTTGTTCTGAGTGTGATGGGGAGCCACAGGCAGGTTCTAATGAGGATGTGTCTACTGATCTATGCTGCAGTGTGAAGAGTTAACTACAGGGAGTTGGGAGTGGAGAGAGGAAGACCACTAAGGAAGTGGTTGCAATTTCTGAGGCAAGAGGCAATGGTGACTGGGGCTGGGCTGTTAGCAGAGGAGATGCTGAAACACGGTGAGATTCAGGATATATTTTGGAGGTATAACTGATAAAACTGCTAATGGGTGGGTGGGATTAGAGGAATAAGAATGGGTGGGATTAGAGTAATAAGAATAAGAGAAGACGCGGGGCGGGGGGGGAGGAGGAGCCAAGATGGCCGAATAGGAACAGCTCCAGTCTACAGCTCCCAGTGTGAGTGATGCAGAAGACGGGTGATTTCTGCATTTCCATCTGAGGTACCGGGTTCATCTCACTAGGGAGTGCCAGACAGTGGGCGCAGGCCAGTGGGTGCGCGCACCGTGCACGAGCTGAAGCAGGGCGAGGCATTGCCTCACCTGGGAAGTGCAAGGGGTCAGGGAGTTCCCTTTCCGAGTCAAAGAAAGGGGTGACGGACGCACCTGGAAAATCGGGTCACTCCCACCCGAATATTGCGCTTTTCAGACCGGCTTAAAAAACGGTGCACCACGAGACTATATCCCACACCTGGCTCAGAGGGTCCTACGCCCACGGAATCTCGCTGATTGCTAGCACAGCAGTCTGAGATCAAACTGCAAGGCGGCAGCGAGGCTGGGGGAGGGGCACCCGCCATTGCCCAGGCTTGCTTAGGTAAACAAAGCAGCCGGGAAGCTCAAACTGGGTGGAGCCCACCACAGCTCAAGGAGGCCTGCCTGCCTCTGTAGGCTCCACCTCTGGGGGCAGGGCACAGACAAACAAAAAGACAGCAGTAACCTCTGCAGACTTAAATGTCCCTGTCTGACAGCTTTGAAGAGAGCAGTGGTTCTCCCAGCACGCAGCTGGAGATCTGAGAACGGGCAGACTGCCTCCTCAAGTGGGTCCCTGACCCCTGACCCCCGAGCAGCCTAACTGGGAGGCACCCCCCAGCAGGGGCACACTGACACCTCACACGGCAGGGTATTCCAACAGACCTCCAGCTGAGGGTCCTGTCTGTTAGAAGGAAAACTAACAAACAGAAAGGACATCCACACTGAAAACCCATCTGTACATCACCATCATCAAAGACCAAAAGTAGATAAAACCACAAAGATGGGGAAAAAACAGAACAGAAAAACTGGAAACTCTAAAATGCAGAGCGCCTCTCCTCCTCCAAAGGAATGCAGTTCCTCACCAGCAACGGAACAAAGCTGGATAGAGAGTGATTTTGATGAGCTGAGAGAGGAAGGCTTCAGATGATCAAATTATTCTGAGCTACGGGAGGAAATTCAAACCAAAGGCAAAGAAGTTGAAAACTTTGAAAAAAAATTTAGAAGAATGTATAACTAGAATAACCAATACAGAGAAGTGCTTAAAGGAGCTGATGGAGCTGAAAACCAAGGCTCGAGAACTACGTGAAGAATGCAGAAGCCTCAGGAGCCGACGCAATCAACTGGAAGAAAGGGTATCAGCAATGGAAGATGAAATGAATGAAATGAAGCGAGAAGGGAAGTTTAGAGAAAAAAGAATAAAAAGAAATGAGCAAAGCCTCCAAGAAATATGGGACTATGTGAAAAGACCAAATCTACGTCTGATTGGTGTACCTGAAAGTGATGCGGAGAATGGAACCAAGTTGGAAAACACTCTGCAGGATATTATCCAGGAGGACTTCCCCAATCTAGCAAGGCAGGCCAACGTTCAGATTCAGGAAATACAGAGAACGCCACAAAGATACTCCTCGAGAAGAGCAACTCCAAGACACATAATTGTCAGATTCACCAAAGTTGAAATGAAGCAAAAAATGTTAAGGGCAGCCAGAGAGAAAGGTCAGGTTACCCTCAAAGGGAAGCCCATCAGACTAACAGCGGATTTCTTGGCAGAAACCCTATAAGCCAGAAGAGAGTGGGGGCCAATATTCAACATTCTTAAAGAAAAGAATTTTCAACCCAGAATTTCATATCCAGCCAAACTAAGCTTCATAAGTGAAGGAGAAATAAAATACTTTACAGACAAGCAAATGATGAGAGATTTTGTCACCACCAGGCCTGCCCTAAAAGAGCTCCTGAAGGAAGCACTAAACATGGAAAGGAACAACCACTACCAGCCGCTGCAAAATCATGCCAAAATGTAAAGACCATCGAGACTAGGAAGAAACTGCATCAACTAACAAGCAAAATAACCACCTAACATCATAATGACAGGATCAAATTCACACATAACAATATTAACTTTAAATGTAAATGGACTAAATTCTCCAATTAAAAGACACAGACTGGCAAATTGGATAAAGACTCAAGACCCATCAGTGTGCTGTATTCAGGAAACCCATCTCACGTGCAGAGACACACATAGGCTCAAAATAAAAGGATGGAGGAAGATCTACCAAGCCAATGGAAAACAAAAAAAGGCAGGGGTTGCAATCCTAGTCTCTGATAAAACAGACTTTAAACCAACAAAGATCAAAAGAGACAAAGAAGGCCATTACATAATGGTAAAGGGATCAATTCAACAAGAGGAGCTAACTATCCTAAATATATATGCACCCAATACAGGAGCACCCAGATTCATAAAGCAAGTCCTGAGTGACCTACAAAGAGACTTAGACTCCCACACATTAATAATGGGAGACTTTAACACCCCACTGTCAACATTAGACAGATCAACAAGACAGAAAGTCAACAAGGATACCCAGGAATTGAACTCAGCTCTGCACCAAGCAGACCTAATAGACATCTACAGAACTCTCCACCCCAAATCAACAGAATATACATTTTTTTCAGCACCACACCACACCTATTCCAAAATTGACCACATAGTTGGAAGTAAAGCTCTCCTCAGCAAATGTAAAAGAACACAAATTATAACAAACTATCTCTCAGACCACAGTGCAATCAAACTAGAACTCAGGATTAAGAATCTCACTCAAAGCCGCTCAACTACATGGAAACTGAACAACCTGCTCCTGAATGTCTACTGGGTACATAACGAAATGAAGGCAGAAATAAAGATGTTCTTTGAAACCAATGAGAACAAAGACACAACATACCAGAATCTCTGGGACACATTCAAAGCAGTGTGTAGAGGGAAATTTATAGCACTAAATGCCCACAAGAGAAAGCAGGAAAGATCCAAAATTGACACCCTAACATCACAATTAAAAGAACTAGAGAAGCAAGAGCAAACACATTCAAAAGCTAGCAGAAGGCAAGAAATAACTAAAATCAGAGCAGAACTGAAGGAAATAGAGACACAAAAAACCCTTCAAAAACTCAATGAATCCAGGAGCTGGTTTTTTGAAAGGATCAACAAAATTGATAGACCGCTAGCAAGACTAATAAAGAAAAAAAGAGAGAAGAATCAAATAGACACAATAAAAAATGATAAAGGGGATATCACCACCGATCCCACAGAAATACAAACTACCATCAGAGAATACTACAAACACCTCTACGCATATAAACTAGAAAATCTAGAAGAAATGGATACATTCCTCGACACATACACTCTCCCAAGACTAAACCAGGAAGAAGTTGAATCTCTGAATAGACCAATAACAGGATCTGAAATTGTGGCAATAATCAATAGCTTACCAACCAAAAAGAGTCCAGGACCAGATGGATTCACAGCCAAATTCTACCAGAGGTACAAGGAGGAGCTGGTACCATTCCTTCTGAAACTATTCCAATCAATAGAAAAAGAGGGAATCCTCCCTAACTCATTTTATGATGCCAGCATCATTCTGATACCAAAGCCGGGCAGAGACACAACCAAAAAAGAGAATTTTAGACCAATATCCTTGATGAATATTGATGCAAAAATCCTCAATAAAATACTGGCAAACCGAATCCAGCAGCACATCAAAAAGCTTATCCACCATGATCAAGTGGGCTTCATCCCTGGGATGCAAGGCTGGTTCAATATACGCAAATCAATAAATGTAATCCAGCATATAAACAGAGCCAAAGACAAAAACCACATGATTATCTCAATAGATGCAGAAAAAGCCTTTGACAAAATTCAACAACCCTTCATGCTAAAAACTCTCAATAAATTAGGTATTGATGGGACGTATTTCAAAATAATAAGAGCTATCTATGACAAACCCACAGCCAATATCATACTGAATGGGCAAAGACTGGAAGCATTCCCTTTGAAAACTGGCACAAGACAGGGATGCCCTCTCTCACCACTCCTATTCAACATAGTGTTGGAAGTTCTGGCCAGGGCAATCAGGCAGGAGAAGGAAATAAAGGGTATTCAATTAGGAAAAGAGGAAGTCAAATTGTCCCTGTTTGCAGACGACATGATTGTTTATCTAGAAAACCCCATCGTCTCAGCCCAAAATCTCCTTAAGCTGATAAGCAACTTCAGCAAAGTCTCAGGATACAAAATCAATGTACAAAAATCACAAGCATTCCTATACACCAACAACAGACAAACAGAGAGCCAAATCATGAGTGAACTCCCATTCACAATTGCTTCAAAGAGAATAAAATACCTAGGAATCCAACTTACAAGGGATGTGAAGAACCTCTTCAAGGAGAACTACAAACCACTGCTCAAGGAAATAAAAGAGGATACAAACAAATGGAAGAACATTCCATGCTCATGGGTAGGAAGAATCAATATCGTGAAAATGGCCATACTGCCCAAGGTAATTTACAGATTCAATGCCATCCCCATCAAGCTACCAATGACTTTCTTCACAGAATTGGAAAAAACTACTTTAAAGTTCATATGGAACCAAAAAAGAGCCCGCATTGCCAAGTCAATCCTAAGCCAAAAGAACAAAGCTGGAGGCATCACACTACCTGACTTCAAACTATACTACAAGGCTACAGTAACCAAAACAGCAAGGTACTGGTAGCAAAACAGAGATATAGATCAATGGAACAGAACAGAGCCCTCAGAAATAACGCTGCATACCTGCAACTATCTGATCTTTGACAAACCTGAGAAAAACAAGCAATGGGGAAAGGATTCCCTATTTAATAAATGGTGCTGGGAAAACTGGCTAGCCATATGTAGAAAGCTGAAACTGGATCCCTTTCTTACACCTTATACAAAAATCAATTCAAGATGGATTAAAGATTTAAACATTAGACCTAAAACCATAAAAACCCTAGAAGAAAACCTAGGCATTACCATTCAGGACATAGGCGTGGGCAAGGACTTCATGTCCAAAACACCAAAAGCAATGGCAACCAAAGTCAAAATTGACAAATGGGATCGAATTAAACTAAAGAGCTTCTGCACAGCAAAAGAAACTACCATCAGAGTGAACAGGCAACCTACAACATGGGAGAAAATTTTCTCAACCTACTCATCTGACAAAGGGCTAATATCCAGAATCTACAATGAACTCAAACAAATTTACAAGAAAAAAACAAACAACCCCATCAAAAAGTGGGCGAGGGATATGAACAGACACTTCTCAAAAGAAGACATTTATGCAGCCAAAAAACACATGAAAAAATGCTCATCATCACTGGCCATCAGAGAAATGCAAATCAAAACCACTATGAGATATCATCTCACACCAGTTAGAATGGCAATCATTAAAAAGTCAGGAAACAACAGGTGCTGGAGAGGATGTGGAGAAATAGGAACACTTTTACACTGTTGGTGGGACTGTAAACTAGTTCAACCATTGTGGAAGTCAGTGTGGCGATTTCTCAGGGATCTAGAACTAGAAATACCATTTGACCCAGCCATCCCATTACTGGGTATATACCCAAATGACTATAAATCATGCTGCTATAAAGACACATGCACACGTATGTTTATTGTGGCATTATTCACAATAGCAAAGACTTGGAACCAACCCAAATGTCCAAGAATGATAGACTGGATTAAGAAAATGTGGCACATATACACCATGGAATACTATGCAGCCATAAAAAATGATGAGTTCATATCCTTTGTAGGGACATGGATGAAATTGGAAACCATCATTCTCAGTAAACTATCACAAGAACAAAAAACCAAACACCGCATATTCTCACTCATAGGTGGGAATTGAACAATGAGATCACATGGACACAGGAAGGGGAATATCACACTCTGGGGACTGTGGTGGGGAGGCGGGAGGGGGGAGGGATAGCATTGGGAGATATACCTAATGCTAGATGACGAGTTAGTGGGTGCAGCGCACCAGCATGGCACATGTATACATATGTAACTAACCTGTACAATGTGCACATGTACCCTAAAACTTAAAGTATAATTAAAAAAAAAAAAAAAAGAATAAGAGAAGACGAAAGGATCATTCCTGTTTTAGACCTGAGAAATGGGTAGATAGTGATATGGAGGGGGTAGGGTAAAAATCAAGAGTTCTATTTTAACAATGTTAGATTTGAGGTACCTACTACTTCTTCATGTACATGTAGTGCAGGTGGTTAGATATTTGTTTGGATTGCACAACAATTGTCAGAACTAGAGTTATAGGTTTGGGTGATTTGGAACCTCAGATATCATTTAAAACCATGGTGCTGATTGAGATCACATCAGGACAAAGAATAGGGAGAAATAGGACGACTGAGGGTTGACTCCTGGAGCACTGCAACATTTAGAAACTTGGAAGACAAAGAAGATTCAGCAAAGGAGACTGAAGATTCAGGAAAGCAGCAAATGAGTCTGGAAGAAGATGAGGAGCATGTGGTATTCCAGAGGCCAAGGGAAGAAAGCCAATCAGAATGAACTATTCCCATTCCCTTGTTGGGCAGAGGGTCACAGGGATCCAGGCTGAGCAGAAAGTCAGGGAAAGGAGATTTGGGCCTTGCTACCTCTAATAGCGCTCTTTCTTTCATTCTCTGTTCTGTACTTCTGTGGACCTCACCTTTGAGGAAGAAGATCAACCTATTTTAAGGAAGTCCTGTATAGACATGAGCAAAAATCATTCAAAGTGGAAAGTAGTATGTCATTAAAGAGCTTCAGATAAAGAATCTTGAGGGTTTTTGTAATGTCTTCCTGACAGAAAAATACACACATTGATCACTCAAAAGCGGGACCTCAAACATATGGAAATAGGAAAAGCATCTTAGCCAGAGGGATTAGCATAAGCGAGGCCCAGAGGAAGAAACTGGCAGCCTGGATGTGAAGGATCCCAATCCATTCACTTTGGTTGGCTCACAAACTGTTTGCTTGATCAATTCTGTGCTCCACTCATGCGCAGAACTCACACAAGAGACATTCAGTGCAATGGTTCTTTACCACAGATAAAAATATAGATGAAGCCAGAAACTCAGAAGCTTAGCATTGGGTTGCTAGAATCCTCCACCAGCACTTTTCCCTCTCCAACCTTTAATCCAAGTTTGTTAAAATCCTTTAAACTGCCGTGGTCTCCCATGAGGAGGGGTAGCAACAAAAATTGTATTGAAACAGTAAATCCCCAGTGACCTAACTTAATCAAATGGACATATTTCATTAAACAAATGTCTCTGCCATCTGCTATACTCCAATTAGGAATGCATGAAGAACTTATTTCTCAATTATGTTGGAGAAGATTTCTGTGCTCAAAGGCCCTGGCAAACAGCCTTTCCTTCAGCAGTGCCCGATGGGGAGACCTGCCTCTAGCGTGTGGTGGCCCTCATGTTCTTTCCTGTCTTTCCTCTGAACTCTACCACTAACTTTGTGTTATTACTACATTCCCTTTTGTGTCAGAACCACTGTGGTCCAGCACACCAAACAAACATTCTACATGCTGGTTTAAAATTATTGTATTGATTATTTAACAACTAATGTTTACTGAAATCTTTGGTATAGCCAGGAGCTGTGATAAGCATATTACATGGATTATTTAATCTAAACTTTACACCTTCTCTGCAAAGTAAGATCCCCACTCTATTTATGAGGAAACTGAGGCTCAATGATCTTAAATGACTTGTCCAAGGTCTCATAGGCTGAGTGTAAGCAGCCTGACACCAGAGTTCATTTATTATCCAGTGTGCATTATAAGAAGTACCATACAGTAACAAGGTATGGTATGAGTATGATATGAGTGCCACCTGCCTCTAGGGACCTTTTATGTGGATGGAACAGGGGTTTAATCAGGTTGGGTAGAGACGAAGGAAGTGCTAAATATAGGTAGAAAATGGAAGAAATTACCCCTTGAATTCCAAGTCAAGACACTGCTATAGTGTGCTTGAATCAAAACATTGGTATAGTATACTTGCACCTTATATCCTATCACAGAAGTGTGACTGCAGAACAACTTGCCACATCTGTTTACCCACCTCTGCCCTCCACTTCAAATCCTGTCTGTTATTTAACCAGTCAGCTGGGCTAGCCCTTAGCCCTCGTTCATCCCTCAGGGCTCCTGATGCTGCTGGAGAAAAATTACACAATGTTGTGATTTTCTAGTTCTACAAATTCATGGGCATCCATCTCAGCTACCTACGTACCACTGCCCAATGATCCTCCTGTCTGTCCTTAGTCCCTTGGTGTTCAGAATTTGTTTCTACCAGTCTTCATCATCATCTCCAAGCCTCCAATATCACCACCTTGTCTTCGCTGTGGGAAGGTGGCTTTGCCATCTGCTTCACATGGAAAATAAAGGTGACCCCTCCAGCTACCTGCACTTCCTATTAGCTTCTACCCTTGGCTCATTCTCTGTTATCTAGGTTAAATCATGAGATTATTGATATTTACTTAGGACATTTTATAAGCTAGCTACTATGGAATGTCTACCTGCATTAGCTCATCCAAGCCTTAAAACCGACTCATGAGAGAGGAGCTACTTATTATTATTTATTTTTAATTGACAAAATCATATATACTTATGGTGTACAACATGATGTTTAAAAATATGTACACATAGTAGAATGGCTAAATCAAGCAACATGTACATTACCCCACATACTTTTTTGTGTGTGTGGTGAAACACTTAAAATCTACTCTCAGCAATTTTAAGTGACCGGTATGTTGTTATTGTATAATAAATCTCTTGAATTTATTCCCCCTAATGGAAACTTTGTATTCTTTGATCAGTATCTCCCCCATTCAGTGGCCCCCTCTCTTCCTCCTGGATCCTGGTAACCACTATTTTACTCTGTTTTTTTGAGCTTGACTTTTTAAGATTCCACGTATAAGCAAGATCATGCAGTACATGTCTTCCTGTGCCTGGCTTATTTTACTTAACATTATGTTCTCCAGGTTTATTCATGCTGTCACAAATGATGGGATTTTTTCCTTTTTAAAGGCAGCATAGTATTCCATTGTGTATATGTATCACATTTTCTTTAGTCATTTATCCATTGATGGATACTTAAGATTGATTCCATGTCTTGTTAACTGTGAATAGTGTTGCAACAAAAATGGGAGGGCAGATATCTCTTTGACTATTCATTTCATGTCCTTTGGGTATATACCCAGCAGTGGGATTGCTGGATCATATGGTAGTTCTATTTTTATTTTTTTGAGGAACCTCTATTCTGTTTACCATAGTGGCTGTGCTAATTTACATTTTCACTATTAGTGTATAAGAGTTCAAGGGGAACTATTTTCAATCCTCATTTTACAGAAGAGAAAATGAGGCTCAGAAAGGTTACGTAGCTATTTCTCAGGATTATGTCCTTATAGTGTTTACCTTCTCATTACACACATTCTCTCTATACAACTGTGTCTTATATGATGTCTGTCACCATCCATATACCATGGCCAAATCAATGTTTTCAGACTAGAATTCTCCTTGAGCTCCTGTTTATTTAGATGCCCAATGGGTGCCCAGTGGCATCTCAAAATTAAACTTCACCTCCATTCTCATTATCATCAATCACTAGAATTGCTCATTTTGCAATATTTTCTGTCTCCATGAATAATACCACTATTGGAAGTTATGGTGAGATTAAGATAATATTATGGTGGTTGGTTATGTGGGAAAAGCAGAATTCGATCCTCAGCTTTCCACCAGTCTGTACAAGATCCTCAAAGGAGATTGATGCAAAGCAAAGGAATAATCTGGTTATTAATTATGGTTTTAGACCCCATGACTGGTATAGAACTGAAAGTAAATCAAGCTGGACTTATGAAGGATTCCTCTCTCCATTCGTGGATGAATTTGAGTGGCACTGGAACAAGGTAGGTTGAAAGGCCTGCTCTGTTTCTAACCCAATACCCAAACTAGAAACTCCACTCTGACATGACAAGCCATATACAAATGTAGGAGAGAGAGAGAATTTGTAGCCACTTGCTCTAGACTTTTATAGGCTGGGTTCTAGATGCTCTATAGACAGAGAAGGAGAAAACATGTTCCTTTCTCTAGGCTTTTGGGAGAAAGAGGGTGAGCCAGGCTCTAGCTTTGTAGAATGAGATAGAAAAGGAAAGAGCCTGTCTATTTTTATTACAACCTACTGTGTCCTTTTTGAAAACTTCTCACTGGTGCTGGGGTACTATACGATGCCCTGGAATTTAATAGTCCAGATTGGCATTCTTCTTGGGAATGGAATATCTTTTCGTGATCTCAGTCCTAGGGAGAAGTAATGAAGAGGCTTATGTAAAAAATAGCAAGAGATTTTGAATTCCTTCTTTCAGAAATTTTCCTTTTATGTCAGTGTGCTGTGACTTTTTTTTTTTTTTTTAACCTTCTCAAGCCTCAGTTCGTCCCTCTGTAAAATGAAGATAAAGCTCTACCCGGTACATAATAAACCATCTGTAAATGTAAATGTGAGGTGGGGTGGGGGAGTAGGAATGAGAAGGTCGAGGCACTAGTAGCTAGGGTGGTGGCTGTGGTTGTGGTCACAGTGGGTGACAGTAGTGGTTCTTGTGGTAGGTAATAGACATCTACGAGTTAGTTAGGATAGAAACCTGAGAAACGACCTGATTTTAATCCTCTCTCTTGCTTATCACATTTAATTCATCAAAACATCTATACATTTCATGTCATTAATTTATTTCCGGTCTCATTGTCATTATCCATCATTTCTTTTGGCCTAAGAGGTAAAGTAACTTTCCCAGGACCACACAGGGACGATCTAGTGCTGTCTCAGTCCTCTGATCTCAGGTGCTTTCTCCTCTACCAGGGCAGAAGAACAGAAGTGCCAAGAGTAGGTACAACTGGGTTCAGCTGTGGCCCCTGCACATACTAACTGTACCATCTGGATAACTTACTTGTCCTTTTACCCAACCAGCAAAGTGGGCCATAATCATGGCACCTACCACATGGGGTTATTGTGAGGATTACAGGAAGTAATGGGTTTAAGAAGTAAGTGTTAGCTTTTTGGAGCTTCTATAACAAAGTACCACAAACTGCATGGCTTAAAACAAGATAGATGAAATGTTTCACACTTCTGGAGGCCAAAAGTTCAAAATCGAGGTGTTGGCAGAGGCTTGTTCTTTCAGGTGGCTCCAGGGGAGACATTTTCCTTGCCTCTTGAAGCTTCTGAAGCTGATGATCTTGGCATTCTTGGCTCACAGATGCATGGCTCCAGTCATATGGCTGTCTTTTCCCCATGTGTTGTCACATCAGATTCCTTCTGTGTGTGTCTGTCTCTGTATCCAGATTCCCCCGTTTATAAGGACACCAGTCATGTTGGATTAGAGCCCAGTCTAATTACATCATTTTAACTTGACTATTTCTGTAAAGGCACTATTTTCAAATAAGGTCACATTCTGAGGTACCGGGGTTAGGACTTCAATATATTAATACCTTTCTGTGGGGACACAGTTCAACCCATAGCAAAGTACTTTGCCCAGGCTTGGGTACAGAGTGAACACTCAGTAAATATTTTTCTTACCAAAGAGCCTCGTCTATCAAAGCAGAGCTCAGTCCTGAGGAACAAGACTGACAGCTTTGGCTCAGCAAGGCTCACATTACTCAATTATACATTCAGCTCTGGAGGAAGGTGGCCTCTGTGTTCTCAGAGAACATCATCAATATTGTGACACTCCAACATGTGTCAGCCACTGGGTTTCCCAGGGCTCCTTCTCTGGGGATCCTTCTGAAGTTGGAAAATTATCCTCCAATCCTGGGTGATCTGAGCGATGGCCTGCCCAGAGGTGGGAGGGGAGAGGATCAGAGTGTCAAAGCTGTCAGGGGCCTCAAATTCTATCTCATCCAAGTCCCTCATTTCAGAGATGAGGAAACTGAGGCCCAGCAAGGGGGAGCCGTCTGCTTCAGCTCACTTAGTAAATGTGAGGCATAGCCAAGCTCAGAATCCTGTTTTCTAATTTCCACTAGCTGCTCTCTTAATCATAGTGATGTCCCACTGCCAGCATTGTTGTTGGTTTTGTTTTGTTTTTGGTACTTTCTACAAAGATTCTTTGAATTTCTCCACCTGTGCAATGGGACAGGTGCTCTAGGCCAGCTCTGACTAACAGAAATACAAAGTGAGCTTCATAGGTAATTTTAAATTTTCTAGTGTCTACATTAAAGAATTAAAAATGTGGGTACAAAGTACACTCTTCAGATGATGGCTACACTAAAAGCCCAGACTTCACCACTGTACAGTAGATCCATGCACCAGAACTGAACTTGTACCCCCTAAATCCATAAAAAGAAAAACATTGAAAACAGATAAGGTTAGTTTTAACAATGTATTTATCCCAGTATATCCAAAATGTTATTTTAATATGTAGTCAATATATGATTGTCAATGAGATACTTCACATTTTTTCTTATTGAATTTTGAAATCTCGTATATATTTAACAGCATATCTTTTTAAAAAATTATTTTATTTTATTTTACTTTAAGTTCTGGGATACATGTGCTGAACATGAAGGTTTGTTACGTAAGTATACGTGTGCCATGGTGGTTTGCTGCACCTATCAACCCGTCATCTAGGTTTTAAGCCCTGCATGCATCAGGTATTTGTTCTAATGCTCTCCCTCCCCTTGCCCTCCTCCCCATGACAGGCCTCAGTGTGTGATGTTCCCCTCCCTGTGTCCATGTGTTCTCATTTAACAGCGTATCTTAACTTCAACTTACCACATTTCAAGTGCTCAGTAACCATATACGTCCAGGGAGCACTGGACAGCACAGCTCCAGGCCAGAGGTTCCCAGAGCTGCTCTGTCTAGGGTGCATATGTTGGTGCAAATGTATTATTTCTACTACCTGAGAAATGACTATTCTTAATTCAAGATTATATCCTTTCTCTTTTGAAATTTTTGGTCAAAATGTCCTCTCCCATGCTGAAATTAAATCATGGTGACGTACAGACAAAACGTTTTTGGTTTTGTTTTAAAAATGTCTTTATTTGACAAAAAGATGGGGACACTAGGCCAGGTCCTTATTAAGAATATTTACATATATAAGTATATTACATATGTGTATATATTTTTAAATGTTTTAAATGGTTAAATTCCTCTTAATATCATTTCTAAAATATATGTGTATATTTTTTGCTGATTTATGAAATCATCATTATCAATTGTCTAAGATTCATTGCTACTCTAATCTTCTGTAATTGCCATTAAAAGTCAAGTTGAGTGGCTGGGCGTGGTGGCTCATGCCTGTAATCCCAGCACTTTGGGAGGCCGAGACATGGGCTGATCACGAGGTCAGGAGATTGAGACCATCCTGGCTAATACGGTGAAACCCCGTCTCTACTAAAAATACAAAAAATTAGCCGGCCTGGTGGCGCGCACCTGTAGTCGCAGCTACTCAGAAGGCTGAGGCAGGGGAATGGCGTGAACCCGGGAGGCGGAGCTTGCAGTGAGCTGAGATTGCACCACTGCACTCCAGCCTGGGCGACAGAGCAAGACTCCGTCTCAAAAAAAAAAAAGTCAAATTGAGGTAAAATGTCTCTCTGTCCTTGAGAACAGAAAGTATAAAGAAGGATCTGCTTGGCTAATCGATTCTGTGCATTGTAGAGCATTTGGATTTTACATCACTGAGTGGTTGTGTAGAAGGGCTTTTGCTAGCCCAAGCCATTGCACTGGGTACTTCGTTTTTCTCTAGTCTTAGGAAAGATTGTGAAGGGATACTGAGAAATTACTACATTTCCTCTGTATTCTGTCCTTGGGCAGGCTAACTACTGATCAATCCCTGGAGAGTGTGCATGGGGCAGGCCCAGTGCCTGGCTCCTCTAAGTATTTCCATATGGAGAAGGCAGCCGGATATTCCCTGGGAAAGCATAGTCAAGATTAAAGTCCAAATTCCTTACCATGACCCACTCACTCTTACAAACTCTATGCCATGCCCAACTCTCATCTCACTTCTCTTCACATCTCCACCTTGTATGACATTCATAAAGGTCTGCTTTCAGCTTCTCAGGCACTCCATGGTTTTTCATGCCTCAAGCTCTTTGTACATGCTCTTCCCTTTGCCTAGAAAGCTCTTTATTCCTTCCAGCTAATCTTTCTGGGTTCAGATTAAATAGTACTTCCTCAGTGAAGTCTTGCTTGATCCTCCAGTCTTAGTGAGATATCCTATTATAATTTTTCCTAGCTTCTGCACTTTACAACATCTAGCCCAATTATATTTCAATAATTATCTGTGTGATTGTTTTGATATATGCCTTTTCTACCATACTGTAAGCTCCAAGAAGGCAGACACCGACTTGTTCAAAGCTATTTCCTGGCACCTAACACCATACTTGATGCATTAGGCACTCAGTAAATATTGGATGAACAAATGAAGGAATGTTCTACATGTCGACAGTATTTTATTTTGGGGTAGATATTTTACATGCAGAGAAAGGGACAAGCCAAGCCAATGTTATCCTTTTTTTCTCTGTACAGTGGCTCTCATTGGCCCAGTTCTGGGCTCTACGGCATGCAATCCCTTGGCATTTGTAAATCTTAGAAGAGTCTGTATGCTTTCTTCTGAAAGCATACCTAGCAGAGAAGCTGTTGGTGAGTCTGCCATCAGCACTTCACTAGGAATCATGAGGTGGGCTCTGGTCACATTTCCACTCCTCATTATCTGAGTGATAGGAAAGCCATTCCATTTTAAAGTCAACAGACGGATCAGTCCCAGGTCATAGTTTCAGTTTGGTGGCTTCAACCTGAAATAGGTTTGTCAAAATCTGTCAAATGTTGGAGGGGCTGGATTCATGATCTCTGGAGGTTCTTATAGACTTTGGGGGCTGGGGAAATCTTGTCAGAAACTGTGTTGCTTGTGACTCTGCATTTTGATAAATAGAAACTTGCCAGCAAAATAAAGGTTACCTTTTTTTTGTCCAAGGTTGCCAGTGAGTCACTGGCTGTGCCTAGAATAGAAATTGGCTCAGGAACACGATTATGACTGTTTTTAAATATCACCTAGATATTTGTTACACAATGAATAGTTTTTCTCTTTTTGAATGGAAAGGGACTGTGGGTACAGAGGAAAGAGGCCCAGACTCTTAGGGAGGAACAGATAACTTAAGGCCCAGTCCCAGGAACATACTCCTGGGCCTCAGCCTGGGGAAGTGTACTGGAGCGAAGTGAGCACTGGACTTGGATCCAAGAACACTGGGTTTTCATTCCAGTGCTAATGCCAACTACAGGGGAGGCACTTGCTTTATAGGCTCCAGTCTCTTTCTCTGGAAGGTGGAAAGAATCAACTCGGACCACCTCAAAGTTTTAAAGCTTCCAAAAGTGTTGGTTTTATTTCATAAACACAAAGCTCTCTACAAACAGGATTCCCATGATTATTTTTGTTGCTGACTTGTTAAGGATAAAGATATCCTGTACTTTCAATGTAGCCAACGTATGAGGAGAGTTCTCTTCACTCATTCATTGTAAAGAACAAATCATGCACCTCTCTGGGACTCAGCTTTCCTATCTGTGAAGTAAGACAAGTAAATCTTACTCTGTAGGTTTACTGAGTTTCTATGACAATGAAATAAGCAAAGTGATGTCAACATCCTTTAAAAAATGTGAAGCTTTTCTTCCCTTGCTTTACAGTCTTTTGCCTTTGTTTCTTCTTCTTCTCTTTCCCTTTTACCATCTTTACTGGGCATCTGCTATGTTTCGCAAATAATTTTAGCTATAGAGGACATATGTGTAAGACACTTGACCCAAGTCATGCCTTCAAGCAATGTTAGAATTTATTTGGGGAGATAGATATGGAAATACATTAATATGATACAGTGTTTCGTAACAATTGGGCACTTACCATGTGCAAGGTACTGTTCTAAGCACTTATATTAACTCACTTAATCTTCATGCTAATTCAATAGTGTCAAAGGGTACTATTATTTTTCCCAGTTTTGCGGAGGATAAAACAAAGTCCAGAGAAGTTAAGCAACTTGCCTAAGGATACAGAGTTAGTGTGAACTGGGGACAGTTTAGCTCCAGAGCCAGTTCTCTTAACCATTAACAAGATATGTGTAAAGCATAGTAGAAACAAAAGAGACAGGGGGAGTTACTTACAACCAATGGAAATCAGGGTAAGCTTTACAGAGGAAATTACAAACCAACTTTGCTTAGGAGTTTTGCATCAGAGAAAGCATAGAAGTTTTCTAGGTGGTAACAAAGAGAAGGGCCTTCCAGGCAATTGGACAGTTAGAGTAAAGGAGTGGAGGTGCAGAATAACCTAGGAAAGCATGAGGACCTGCATGTTCTGGCTCTTGCCAACATTTCTGACCTCATCACCTCCACTTCTGCCTTGCTTTCCTTGTGCTGCCCACTCTGTCCTTCTGGCTGGTCCTTGGACATGCCAAGCTGATCTTGCTTCGGGTCATTTGTGGTTGCTCTTTCCTCTCCTGGGATTCTCTTCCCCAGTATTGGTTTACTTTATTTTTGCCTACCTTTCCTGACTTCACTGTAATGTGCAAAAGGGCAGGAACCTTGTCTTTCTTGCTCACTGCTGTGTCTTTAACATTTACAATAGTGCCTAGCAAGTGGAAACTGTTCAATGAGTGTTTTTAGAGTGCATGAGGGCAAAGTGGAAGATGGGCTATGATGGGATAAGGCAGTTCCCGTGGGCAGGGGCCCTACAATGAAGATCTTGAAATGACTGTAAGCCATTCCTATGACTCCTTTTCTAACAGTGGTTCTTCACCAGGGCAATATTGCCTCTCCCCTTAGGGGACATTTGACATTAGCCGGAGCATTTTGTTGGTCACAATAGAGGAGAGGGAGCATTGCTGACACTAAGTAGGGAGGTCAGGGTGCCATATGTCTTGTGACATACAGAACAATCCTGCCCTGCACAACAAAAAGGGTCTCATCGAAAATGACAATAACATTTCCAAATCCCCTTAAGAAACACAATGAGCAGCCTCCATGGGGCTGGGCAAGAGCATATTCCAGTCTTAGCCTTTTAGAAAAAAGGGCTTGAAATGGAGTTTGGTTTTATTCATCTGTAAGCTATAGCTCTTTTCCTTGCCACTGGGCTACTTGTGCTAGTAAAGAAGAAGGTACTTCATTAACTGTAAGATGCTTTTTTGTTAGTTATGTTCCATATTAGGTACTTATCTTCACATGCATAATACTATCATTGCTATTTGCATAAAAAAGATGTCACTGTGATTTCATTTGAATTTGACAATTCCCCTTGTGAAGTAGTATGGCAATAGGATAAAACACATTATGTATCTCTATATATGTCTATCTGTTATCTCTTCATTCATCCACCAATCCATCAGTCCATCCATTCATCCATCCATCCATCCATGCAGCTATTCACCCATCCATCAAAACAAAGACTCCAAGAGATTTTCCCAAGATCATGTGGTAAACAAATTGCAGAGCTGGTACAAAAACTCATGTCTACTGATTTGCTGCTTTTTCTCATGACCACAATATTTTCAGGCCCTTGTGGTTGTATGTGATAATGATGATAATAATAATGCATTAACTTAGTATTAGGTTGGTTCAAAAGTAATTGAAGTTTTTTAGTCATTAAAAGTAATACTTTTAATGGTGCAATTACTTTTGCACCAATGTAATAATTTAGCCCTTTCTATGTATAAGTCATATCACTGAATCTTCATCGCAATCCTGTGAGGTATAGGTACCCTGGGCATCATTTCCCATTACAGATAAGGAAACTGAGGCTCAGAGAGTCAACCTCTCTGAGGTTACCAAGCAATGAAGAGTAAGAAGTGAGCTTTGGGGTGACTTTTAATTACTTTCTGGTGAGGACTGATCTAATATCTTCATGGCTCAGAGAAAAGTAAGTTTCCCCTACCTACTCTATGAGCCTCAAAGTTGACTTGCATATCTCCCTGCCCCAACCAACCCAAATGTTGCAGAAGATTGCTGATATTACAGACTTCTACTGTGCTCACTGCTTTTCCTCAAGCTAAAGGAAGAAAAGAGAAAGGAAGGGACAAGCAAAATGTTAGTGTAGAAGGGGAAGGGGCTGCCAATTCCTGAACTTATTTAGCTACATAGTCACAGATGTGGCAGTCACCTGAGACAGACAGCTGCCCTCTTGATGTAAAATTGCTCCTACTTTATTCCTGACAAGTCTTGTCTTAAATTGAGGACCTCTTCTGATGGGGGTTCAAATTTTCCAAAGAGGCCCTTTCCAAGGATGGACATTTCAAGTGGTTAGGAAGTTCTTCCTGCTCCCGAGATGAAATCTGTTGTCCCTGAGTCATGACTTTGGTTATGATTGTCTGCTGCATCCATTCAGTGTGAAGTTGAAATTCCCTTCTATAGGACAGCTCTTCATATATTTAGAGTCAGTCTTACCTGAGTTTCATTTTTAGGCTGAATGGTATGTAAATTTTCCCAGCTATTTAAAATAATCTACTGTTTTCCTTCTTTTCATCTCCTGAATACTCTGTGGACACATTGTCTGTGTCACTCTTGAAATGTGAAACCTGAAATGGGATGCAGTACATCCTGGAGGGGAATTGAACAAATAAACAAGTACACAAACAGGAAAATGACAGGCGGAGTTGCTGTGATAAAAATAAAACAGAAAGTAGTGTGTGCTTTGGAGGGGGAGATGGAGGGACACTGATTTAGATGAATGGAACCCATTCTCCGAAGGTTGATTTTATGGGGACAGAAGTAGAAGGTTATTTAGTTCAAAGGCCAGTTTAGATGCTAGTAAGGAAAATATATAAATGTACATATATATTTTATTCAGACTAGGCCTGGGAATGGGCAGACAATGAACTGAAAGTATTTGAAACATCTCTCCACAGCTCAAAGAATCTTAGCATTAATTCATGATTTCAACAGACTTTCAGTGATTTTTTTTTTTTTTTTGAGTAAGGGAGGACTGTATGCTGGACATTACACTGCACGGTGAAAGTAGAATAGAGACCAAAACAGAATGTTCCTCCTTCTCTACCCTGTCTTCCATGCTGCAGATCTGGCAGCTTTAAAGGGCAACGGGTGCAATGTTAGACTCGTGATGCAGTGTTAGACCTGTCTTGTCTCAGGGTAGGCGGAGGTAAATTCTGCAGAGGGTTAAAGCTGGATTAACGGCCCATGAACATTTTATTTCTCTGCTGGCTGAGCACAGTAAATATCGATGGTAATGTAATGTTCTTTCTCATTGGGAGGAGAATGAGGGACATAAGAGAGGAGAGAATTGACCTTTTAGCTCTGAAAGAGGAGAAGAATATTGGAGAGATAGTGTCCCGGTCAAAATAAACACACACACACACACACACACACACACACACACACACACACACACACACGGGGTGGGGGGTGGGGGGAAGAGAGAGAGAGAGAAACACTTCTGGAGTAATAGTCTTTTAGTAGATAATTTATTTTTAACCTTTTCTGTATTATAGAGACTGCAAGGAAAATAGAATAAACAACTCTAGACTTTTCTCTAGGACCTAAAGTCCACATATGCACATGCACATTGAGTGTGTCCTATGATGTGGAACTCAGACCTACTGAGGAGTATCTGTGGCTCAGTAAGGAAAAGACACAATTGTGGTTCACATTTTGAATTTAGTTTGTAAATGTATCTTGCCGGGCTTAAAGGTACACTAAAATTCTATTGAATTAGTTGCCAAGAACTAAAGTGAGAATATTTCTACAAAAAAATTCGGGTGTCTGGCTTCTCTTAAAAAATTAAAATATCCGGGATCCTTGAGCTTGCATAGTGGCCATCGCTGGGCTCCAATTGTGCTGTCTTTTTATACATGTGGAAAAGTCTCCCCAGCTGTCATCAGTCTTCCTTTTCACACCCACTTATAGGCCTTTTAATTTTGTCCCTTATACTAGAAGGGGTTAAGATCAAGAGACCCCTCCCTCTTAAAGACAGATTTTTTTTTTTTTTTGGTTTCAGAGAGATCTCTAGGGAACCATGAGGTCTAGTATCCTAAAAACCTGCTTTCAAAGCAGATCTCACATGGTGCCCCAGTATATGAAACAGATAAAGAAGAAGGAATTTTATCGGGGCACATGGGCCCCAACCACTGCCAGTTAGTTTGGTGTGTCCCAGTCTTACTTTGGTGGCTCCCAAAGCACCTCTGGGGGGACCTTCAGGACTCCACAGGGCACATTGGAAAACATTTGTGTATCAGTAGGAACTCCTTTGGTTGCATGTGACAGAAGCCCACCTCAAGCTAGCTTTAGCTAAAAAGATAATTTACAGGTTTATGTAACTTTGGGTGTCTATCCTCAGACAAAGCTGGGTCCAGGAATCCCAGTGATGTTATCAGGGATCCCCCTTGTTCCTTTCTTTGCTCTGAGTTGGCTTCATTCTCAGAAAGCTGGTCTCCTTTGGTGGAAGCGGATGGCCACCAACAAGACTCCAGACTTATATTATCTCCACAGCCAGCAGTCCTGTTAGAAACAAACAAACAAACAAACAAACAAACAAAACACCTTCTTCATAATAGTTCCGACAGAATCTGGGATTTGATTTTTTTGTATCATTTTGGGTAAATTCCCATCCCTGAGTAAATTAGTCTATCCAGGAAAGTGGGACCAGCTCATTGGCTAGGCCCCCAATTGTAAGTCCTAGGGATTATAAAACTCCAGTGAATGGGGTCAGTTTGAAGCACAAACCCAGAACTTTGGCCTCTAATCCTAGTGCATCTTCCATTTTATTATTTATTTATTGTTTTGAGTCAGGGTCTTGCTCTGTCACCCAGGCTGGAGTGCAGTGACACAATCATGGCTCACTGCAGCCTCGACCTTCTGGGCTCAAGCCATCCTCCTGCCTCAGCCTCCCATGTAGCTGGGACTACAGGTGTGCACCACCATGCCTGGCTAAGTTTTAAAATTTTTTTTTAAAGATGGAGTCTCACCATGTTGCCCAGGCTGGTTTTGAACTCCTGGGCTCAAACAATCCACCCACTTCAGCCTCCCAATGTGCTGGGATTACAGACATGAGCCACCGTGTCTGGCCCACATCTTGCATTTTAGACACGGGTTCATCTTTATTATCTATTTTTCTGTGATTCTGACTGATATGTTGAAGTATAACAGTCATCATACTTGACAATAAATCAATCCCAAAGCCATAGAATTTTAGTGATAAACTAGCCTAAGTGGGCTTATCATTCAAATGAGAAAACAGTCTTAGAGAGACTGACTGACTCATACAAGGTCAACTGACAATTTATATGAGACTATCAAAGTACCCTCACATCTCTTATCTCATTTGACAGTAAGAAGAATCCTATGACACATTGAACTTGGGTAGTGTTTTTTCCAAACATTTTCTCATCAATGAGATCATTTTATCCCCATAACAACCCTAAATTAGGAGAGGATAAAAATTATTCACCCATGTTTATAGGTAAGAACACGGGGTCAAAGAGGGTAAGATACTTGCCCAAGGTTCCATGGCATGTAGGGAGAAAAGCCAGTTTAGAATTCATCTGTCTGGCTCTGGGCTCTTTTTCTGTATCATCTTTATATTAAACATTATATTCAAGGACCTTCTACATACGTAATAATCTAAAGCAACTGGATAGACTGATCATTATCAAAGTTTTCAAATCTTACCATTGCAAGTTACAGATTTTGTTTTGTACCAATGACAAATACAGAGGCAATAGACTACAGTAGAATTTGTTTCTTTTATTCACAGGAACAAAATTTAAATAATGGAATTTGGGGAAAATAAAATCAACAGATAAGACGAAGTAAAATTCAGAAAATTTTAGATCTGAAAAGAATTATGGAATAAAAAGAAGACTAATTATCTTCTTAATAGGTGAGGAAACTGAGGTTCAGAAAGTTGATATAATTTGCCTCAGATCCTATAGATGATCCATGATAGAGGCTAGAGAATAATACAAGTCTCCCAACTTCCTATTGCCCTAAGGACTTTTACGATGATGATTGAGAGGCAGTGTGCTGTGGCATAAGACACTAGATGATCTGCCACAATGTTCTGTAGCGTGCTTCTGAGAGTGTAAGAAATGCCAGCCATTGGGGTACTCAAGGGGAATTCTGGTCTCTCCAGACCTAGAGTTAGGCAACATTGATTCAACCTCTAAGAAGTTAATTCTCATTAATTTTCCTTTAATTCTTCTGACTTTTGATGGCATCAAAGGAAAAGTCTATGTTGGATTCTAATTGGACTTTATGCCTTTCTAGCACTTTCTAATTTCCTTTTTTAGCAGAGCATACAGGCCTTAGGTTCAAAGTGTTTGGTAAGCCAGAGTGGTTGGCTAGAATTTAATGGCATTTTTTTGTTTCTATTTCATCTATTAGCCACATATGGAAAATGATATTCTTTTCTAATTCATGAAATGATCTAAAATTTCTTTAAAACATTACTTAATTTTTATCCAAAATTTAAATAAAAGTATTGATTTATAAAAAGTTTTATGCATATAATAGTTAGGTTATGGTAATTGTACACGGATATGACAAAAACCGAAATAATGAGGAATGTATGAAGTTGGGGAATTACTGCCACAGGAACTGAATGCAAGGCCATTGTCAGGGCCACGTTGAAGAGTGCACTTTGACCTCAGAGAAACATAGATTTGACTCCCAGTTCTACCACCAAAATTAGCTATGTGACCTTGAACTAGATACTTTATATTTCTGGATTTGAGCATCAAAAGTTAATAATATGACTTATTTGCAAGGTTGTTGTGAAGATTAGGAATCTAAATGACAAGTACCAAGCTCAGCACCTGGCACATAGTAGGTGCTAAGGAAATGGTAGCTCTCAAGAGAGCTGAGCTTTAGATCAATATGAATGAAAGAAGAGAAAATGAAAGAATGGGTGGCAATAAGGCACCCAATGCAGCCTTGATTTTAATCTCCCACCTCATTTTTTTCTTTCTCCGGAACTGGTCAGGTAAGAACACAGCTGGTTAAGTACATCTTTGCTCCAGGAGGTCTGTTTGTCACTTTTGGAAAAAGCAAACTATAATCCTTGAGGCTAATTTCTGACTAGAAGACTGGCTGCGTGTTTGCTTGATGGAAAAGCAGACTTGAGGGCATGCTGGGAGGTTGATTCATTAGTTATTCCTGCGTAGGAGGCCTTGGCTTCTGGGTTGTTAAAGAACAAACAAAAATATCCCTTAAAAATAGGCTATGGTTTCGTGAAGCTTGAAATGCAATCCTATGGTTCAGCCTTAAGAGAAAATCTTCATCAAGCTTTTTGAGGTTTGCCCTGGTGGGCTGCTATAGTTTGTTGATTTGATTTTTAAAAATATTGCATTAAATATTATTTATCTTGCTTCCTGAGATTTTTATCTCACCCTTAAATTCTGCAGCTGAGGCAAGTGCCTCACATGCCTCATCCTAGTCCTAGCCGTGTTCCACAGTAACCAACTATACCCCTGCCACATGGGGAAGAGAGATTGTAATTATACCATGAGGTTCCCTGGTGGGCTTAAAAGTAAATATTAGAGAAAGAGATTTTTTTGCTCAATATGATCTGGACAACATGAAATAGTTTGCCCTATGAAGTGATGATTGCCCTGCCTTTGTGAGAGTACAAACTGGAGTAGTGACTTCGTTCAACGAGGCCAGGAACGGGGAGGGGTTGTTGCGCATTGAGTGGAAGAGGGATGCAGGACCTTCCTTTGCAATTCTGACATTGTATGAGTTGAATCCATTCTTCTATTGGGCCAGTCTATTATTCATTCAACAAACATCATTTCAAGTGTCAGCACTATGCTAGAACTGAATGTGAATACACATGTAAAGAGACCATATGGATATCCCTCACTTATGAGTGTGGCAGGAGTAGACTTAAATAACTCCAACAAAGGAGCTAGCATAAACTGAATGCTTATTATATGCAAGCCACTGTTGCTAGGTGCGCTACACAAATTATATATTTGTTATAGAAGTATAATGTACATACAGTAATGTCCCCTTATGTGTGGTTTTACTCTTTGCAGTTTCAGTTACCTGAGGTCAACCTTGGTCTGAAATTAGGTGAGTACAGTACAATAAGATATTTTGAGAGAGAGAAAAAGGAGACCCCATATTTGCATAACTTTTACTACATTATATTGTGATAATTGTTCTATTTTATTATTAGATATTGTTAATCTCTTAGTATGCATAGTTTATAAATTAAATTTTATTGTAGGTATGTATGTATAGGATAAAATATAGTATTTATAGGGTTTGGTAATATCCAAAGATTCAGGCTTCCACTGGGGGTCTTGGAATGTATCTGTTGTGGATAAGAGGGGACTACTGTATAGTGAAATGCCCAAATCTTACATTAAAATTTGTTAAGTTTTGATATTTGACCCACGTTTTGATAAGTTAAATCCTGCCCATGTAACCACCATCCCAATCAAGATATAGGACATTTTCATCACTCCAGAAAGTTTCTATGTGTCCCATTCCCTAGAGGCAATCTCTGCTTTGTTTTCTAGTACCACACATTAGTTTTGCCTGTGCAAAGACAAATATGTGAAATTAAACAATGCATTCATATTTGAGTCTGGTTTCATTTATTTAGCATGCTTTTAACATCATATGTATTATTGTAGGTTTTAGTGGCTTTTTTCTTATTACTGAGCAATATTCTGTGTATGTACCACAATTTCTTTGCCCATTCACCTATTGGTAGATAGCTGTTTCTAGTTTTTGAGTCTTACAAATAAAGTTGCTTTGCACATTTTTTGTACAAGTCTTTTTGTTGATATGGGTTTTTTTTTTCCTGCTGAGTCATGAGGTAGGTTTATATTTAACTTTATAAAAAAAAAAAGCTACCAAATAGTTTCAGTAGTGATTGGGCCATTTCATACTTCCTCCAGCAATACATGTAAGTTCAAGTTGGTCCACTGCCTTGCTAATATTTGGCGTTGTTGGTATTTTTTTAGCCATTCTAATAGGTATGTAGTGGTATCTCAATATTTTTTTCTTTTTAAAAATTATGTCTTAAATTTATGTATAGTAAAGTTGACTTTTTATTGATGTATAGTTCTACGAGTTTTAACTATGTCTAGATTTGTATAACCACCTGCCACTACCACAATCAGGATATTGAATTATTCTATCACCTGAAAAAATGTTCTCATGCCACCCTTTTATAGTCAAGCCCTCCTCTCGATACAACCCTGGAAATTACTGATATATTTTTCTCTCCTTATAGTTTTGCTATTTCTGGAATATCATATAAATGGTCAGGTTCTGGTGAGGTCCCTCTTCGGGGTTGCAAACAGCTGACTTCTACTTGTGTCTTCACATGGTGGAAAGAGGGCAAGAGAGCTCTCTGGGGTTCTTTTTATAAGGGCACTAATTCCATTCTGGAGGGCTCCACCCTCATCAGTAGGAGGCCCCACCTACTAATACAATCATATTGGGGGTTAGGCTTTCAACATATGAATTTTGAGCAGATACGCATTCAGTTCATTGCATATAGCAGTGTGTGTGTGTGTGTATGATACAGTGTATGTTTAACATTATAAAATGCTGCCAAATTGTTTTGCAAACTGGTTGTATCATTTTTCATTCTCACTAGTACTCTATGAGAGTTATAGTTGTTCTGTGTTGTGGGTTAAATGTGTCCCCTCCAAAGGATATACTGAAGTCCTAACCCCTGGCACTTGTGAACGTGACCATGTTTTGGAGTAGAGTCTACAAGTATACTCAAGTTAAGACGAGGTCTTACTGGTATAGAGTGGCTTTTTAATCCAACAATAGGTGTCCTTATAAGGAGAGAAATTTGGAGATACAAAAATAGAAGGAAAACAGCTGTGTGAAGATAGAGGTAGGAATCAGAGTGAAGCTGCTACAAGCCAAGGAATACCAACAATTGCCAGCAATGATCAGGAATTAGGAGGAGGCAAGAAAGAATTTTTCCTAAGAAACTTCAGAGGAGGTGTGTTTCTGCTGATACCTTGATTTTGAACTTCTCACCTCCAGACTGTGAGAAAACAAATTTCTGTGTTTTAAACCACCAAGTTTGTGATAATTTGTTATGGTAGCCCTAGGAAATGAATACACTCTACATCTTCTCCAGCACCTGTTTCTTTTTCTTTTCCCTTTTTGGGAGAGGGTTTCATTCTAATAGATGTGTATAGAATCTTACTGTAGTTTTAATTTTCATTTTTCTAATGGCTAATGATGTTGAGCATATTTTCATATATTTGCCATTCGTATTCCTTAGTGAAATGTCTGTTCAAGTCTTTGCCCATTTTTTAAAAAATTGGGTTGTTTACTTTTATGTAGGTTTTGACATTTCTTTACATATGCTGAATAAAAGTCCTCAGTCAGATATAGTTGTGTGTGTTTTTTTGTTTTGTTTTGTTTTGTTTTTGAGACAGAGTCTTGCTTTGCTGCCAGGCTGGAGTGCAGTGGCACAATCTTGGCTCACGGCAACCTCTGCCTCCTGGGTTCAAGTGATTCTCCTGCCTCAGTCTCCTGAGTAGCTGGGACTACAGGCATGTGCCACCGTGCCTACCTAATTTTTTTTTTTGTATTTTTAGTAGAGATGGGGTTTCACCATGTTGGCCAGGCTGGTCTGGAACTCTTGACCTCGTGCTCCTCCTGCCTTGGCCTCGCAAAGTGCTGGGATTACAGGTGTGACCCACTGCGCCTGACCAGATATAGTTTTTTGCAAATATTTCTCCCAGTCTGTGGTTGGCCTTTTTAGCCTCATAACATTGTCTTTTGCAGGGGAAGTGTTGAATTTTGATGAGGTCTAACATCAATATTTTCTTTTGTGAATCATGCTTTTCATATTGTATTTATAAAATCTTTGCCTGGCTTATACCACAAAAACATTCTCCTATAGTAGAGTTTAAAATTTAAGTCTATAACTGATCAATTATCTTTTAAGGAAACTAGAAGATAAACATCTAGGTATAGTTTTTACTCATGTAGTTACCGTTTCTGGCATTCTGTTTTCTGTAGCACGTGATGCTATTTGATAGCATTTTACCCACAGTAGAACTTTCAAAATTAGAGTCAGCCTAAGATAAATTATTAGAGGGAATTTTTTAAAAAGGGAAAAATATTAGAGCCAGTTTTCTCAAACCCTGCTGTTTCTTTATCTAAAATTTTCTAATTTTTAGAGTCTAATTTAACTGGCTCAAATTTTTTTCTTGTTATTTCCACTCACTGAATTAGAATTTTAAATTTCCTTTAAAATATAAAAATATATGACATTCCAAATACTTAATTGTCATTTCAACAATGTCCACAGCATCTTCACCAGGAGTAGACTCCATCTCAAGAAACTTTCTTTGCTCATCCCTAAGAATCAACTTCTCTGTTCAAGTTTTCTCATGAAATTGCAGCAATTTAGTCACATCTTTAGGCTCTACTTCTAATTCTAGTTATCTTGCTATTCCACCCCACCTGCAGTTATTTCCTCCACTAGAGTCTTGAACCCTTCAAAGTTACCCATGATGGTAGGAATTAACTTCTTCCAATTACCTGTTAATTTTGATATTTTGACCTTCTCCTATGAATCACAAATGCTCTTAATGGCATTTAGAATGGTGAATCCTTTCAAGAAGGATTTCAATTTACATTGCCCAGATCTAACAGAGGAATCCTTACCTGTGGCAGCAATGACCTTGTGAAATATATTTCTAAAATAATAAGACTTGGAGGTCAAAACTATTCCTTGATACATGAGTTCCCAAATGAATGTTGTGGAAACATAAAACATAAAAGCAACATTATTCGTTCTGTACATCTCTATCAGAGCTCTTGGGTGAGTAGACACATTATCAATAAGCAGTTGTATTTTAAAGAAATCCTTTTTTATGAAAAGTAGGTCTCAACAGTGAGCTTAAAATATTCAGTAAACCATGCTGTAAACAGATGTGCCATTGTCTTTTGTTGTTCCATTTCTAGAGCACAGGCAGAGTAGCCTTAGCATAATTCTTAAGGGCTCTAGGATTTTTAGAATGGTAAATGAACATTGGTTTCAACTTCAAGTCACCAGCTGCATTATCTCCTAAAAAGAGAGTCAGCCTGTCCTTTGAAACTTTGAAGCCAGGCATTGACTTCTCCTCTCCAGCTGTGAAAGTCTTAGTTGGCGTCTTCTTCCAATAGAAGGCTATTTTGTCTCCATTAAAAATCTGTTGTTCTGTGTAGCCACCTTTGGCAATGATCGAATGAACTTAGTTAGATTTTCTGGATAACTTGCTGCAGCTTCCCCATGAGCAACTGCTGCATCACTTTGCACTTTTATATTATGGAGATCGCTTCTTCCCTTAAACTTCATGAACCAACCTGTGCTAGCCTCCAACTTTTCTTCTGCAGCTTCCTCACATCTATCAGCCTTCATAGAACTGAAGAGAGTTAGGGCCTTACTTTGGATTAGATTTTGGCTTAAGGGGATATTGTGGCTGGTTTGATCTGTCCAGATCACTAAAACTTTCTTTATATCAGCAACAAGGGTGTTTAGATTCCTTATTATTCATGTGTTTCCTGGATTAACATTTTTAATTTCCTTCAAAATTTTTCCTTTGCATTCACAACTAGGCTGCTTGGTGCAGGAGACCTAGTTTTTGGCCTGTCTTGGCTTTCAACCTGCCTTCTGACTAAGCTTAATTATTTATAACTTTTGGTTTAAAGTGAGAGACATGTAACTCTTCCTTTCACTTGAAGAAATAGAGGACATTGTAGAGTTATTAATTGGCCAATATTGATGTGTCTTATGGAATAGGAAGGCCCCAGAAGAGGGAGGGAGATGGAGGAACAGCCAGTTGGTGAAGTAGTTAGAGCACACACAACAATCATCAATTAAGTTTACTGTCTTATTTGGGTGTGGCTCATGACACCTCAAAACAATTGCAATAGTTACCATCAAAAATCACTGTTCACAGATCACCATAACAAAGATAACAATAATGGAAAAGTTTGAAATGTGAGAATTACCAAAATGTGACACGCTAACACCAAATGAGCACATGCTGCTAGAAAAATGGCACCACTAGACTTGCTCCATGTAGGGTTGCTAGAAACCTTTAATTTGTAAAAAGCACAATTATCTTGAAGTGCAATAAAGTGAAGCACAAAAAAATGAGTTATGCTTGTACCTGCCTTTTTTCCTTGAAGATAGGTTACATTTTTCTCTTTCTTCTCTTATCTAGTGATATTAGATATTATAGATGATACATTAAAGACACGTATATTTATAAAAACTTCTCCTCTATCAGATTTATTCTTACAGATAGTTAAGTGACTGGGTGAAAAACTAAAGAACTTGTGAAGGCTAGATTTTACACTCTTCTCAGGTATATATATTTCTGTATTGTTTTTAGTCCTAGGAAGAATCCCTTAATCCTGAGAAGTTGTGTTTACTTCGTGCCATAGCCCTTCTGGAGTATTAATGGAAAGCTCAAGGCATTTTTCAAGCTTTTCTAGCATTGCATGATTAAACCCCCAAATGCTGTCTTCTCTGAAGAGGGCAGCAACTGAAATCTCAGTTTAGGCCTTTAGATTCCACTGTGGATTTCTGCTGGGTTCTTTGAGTCTCTCCCTCACAAGACCTATTCAGGAGTGGGCCAAAGATTTGAGAGGTGTTTACACTCTAGTTTTTGTGCTTACCGCCCACAGCATCCCTCTTTCCTGAATTTTCTCTGTCGATTTTCAGCCATACTGATGGCACTTAATTTTTTTTGACATCTTTAGCATATAAAACTGTGACTTTCTGCTTGACTTCTATTTAATCTGCAACATATGGACCAGAGAGTGCCTTCAGGAAAATAGCTCAATACACATGGATCTTACCTCATGTAGTTTCCTTCTTTCATAGATATAATACACTCCATTTTATAAAATGCCTGCTTTGGATCACTCTCAGTGCCTTAAAATAGTTGTGTTTCTTAAAATGTTTCATCCATGGTTTATAATTATTATCTGTGGCTGGTTTAGTCCAATACAAGTTACTCTGTTATTACTGGAATTAGAATTTCTTTCTATTCTATGAATTATTGAATTTTTCCTCATAATAAAATAACAATTAGCAGTTATTGTTACCACTGTTTTCCTGGTAAGTAAAACTGGCTCAAAAAGATTAATTCATTTTCTCAAAGCTATCCAGCTTATAAGTGGCACTGAGTTAGACTCTAAGTGCTATAATTTTAGCCACAAATCTCTAGTATTGGCATTATAGTAATTCAGGGTAGAGAATAGAAAAGTCATGTGATCTTGGGAGAAAACTCGATGTGTTGATGTCAGGCACATGCTGTTTATTTTGTTTGTCTGGGTAATAGCCAAAAAGAGAAATTACTGCAATGACCCAGGTATTTTATTTATGTCATTGTTCATACAACATATGCATAGCTTGAAGACTTGGTGCCTTCCTGACTTCACTTACCAGGCTGTGTTCAGTCATTTCATCAGAGGTAGGACTGCTTCCCAAGAAGATGAGGCAGCATTATGTAATCCACAAGCAGAATGGCATTACACAGTCATCTAATAGAAAAATAAGTCATAGAAGGAAGGAAAAGACCTTCAAGATTGCATAACTATACGTTAGTTAGCTTGGGCTGCCATTGCAAAATACTGCAGACTACATGGCTTAGCAGAAATTCATTTTCTCACAGTTCTAAAGCCTAGAAATCCAAGATCGATGTTCTGGCTGATTCGGTTTCTTGTGAGAGCTCTCCTTCTGGCTTGCAAATGGCCACTGTCTCACTATAGTCTCACATGGTGTTTCCCTGCTTCCTCTTTTACAAGAACATTGATCCCATTGCATCAGGACCCCACACTCATGACTTCATTAAACTTAGTTACTTCCAAAGGCCCCATCTCTAAATACTATCACATTGAGGCCTAGGGTTCCAACATGTAAATTTTTGGAAAGCACAATTTAGTTCATAATAGCTAAATGCTGGTATCCAGGGAATAGCTGAAGTGACTGAAGTCAGACAGGTAGAGGTAAGTCCAGGATAACTTTCCAAGCATCCTCCCCTGCTCAGTGTTTTTTCACTGGAGGGTAGCCCTCTGGCTGAATTTGTCAAAGAGGACTCTTCTTTTGTTTACCTGTTAGGTATTCTGAAGATCTGTATAAGAATTGCCCTTGCTTATGAGCAAAACAAGCAACTAACTACCCAGAAGTATTTGGTGTGTACAAACTACCCTAAAATATCCCTGATTCTTGCCTGAAGCTTCCAACATAAAAGGGATGCTATTGGTTAAATGCATGGTCTTTAACAAAATAGATAGGTTTGTTAGAGGTGCCTCATTTAAAATTTGAATTAATTGATACAATCCTTTCTCATATGACAGCTTCAATGGGTAAACACTAATGAGGAAATCTTTCAGTATATGAGAGCTCTATCATATTATTAATTTGAATTTCAGTTTCCTCATCTGTCAAATGGGGATAAGGATAGCATCAACTTTTTACTTGCTATAAATAAAATCTGAGAGGACATAGCTAAAGTTTCTAGCAGAGTATTTGACACACTGTAAGCTCAAAAGATAGCAGCTATTGATGATGATGATGATGATGATAATGATGATGATTAAAGAGAATAACTGTGGGCACTTATGCTATTAGGAAGACTATTTGGGGCTTCCTGGATACTCTGAAAATAGTGTGACTACAATGGATATATGAGATCTGTGAGAGGGAAAAAGGGCCACATAGAAAAGAGACAAAGATAAGGGGCATAAATATATACAATTTTTATTTGCCGATTAAAATAGATAATTTTTTAAAAAGACTACAAAGACAACCCACAGAATGGGAGAAAATATTTGCAAACCAAATGTCTGATAATATCAGATAATATCTGGTTAATAGCTAGAATATATAAAGAATTCCTACAAGGCAATTACAAAACAACCACCAAATTAAAATAAAATGGGCAAAGGACGTGAACAGACATTTCTCCAAAGAAGTTGTACAGATGGTCAACAAGCACATGAAAATATGCTCACTATCACCAACTATTAGGGAAATATAAATCAAAACCACAGTGGGATATCATTTCATGCCCATTAGGATGGCCATTATCAAAACAAAAACAAACTAATAATTGTTGATAAGGATGCAGAGAAACTGGAAATCTTATGCATTGCTGGTGAGAATGTAAAATGGTGCAGCCATTGTAAAGAACAGTTTAGTGGTTCCTCAAAAGGCTAAATATAAAGCTATATAAACATATAATCTAGCAATCTCAATCCTAGGCATGTACCACAAAGAATTAAAAGCAAGGAGTCAAACAGACACTTGTGCACCAGTGTTCATAGAAGCATTATTCACAATAGCCAGGAGGTAGAAACAATCCAAATGCCCATCAACAGGTGAATGAATGAGCAAAATTTGGTGTATATGCATCATACAATGAAATGTTATTCAGCCATAAAATGAATGAAATTATGATACATCTACAACGTAGATAACCCTTGAGGACATTATGCTAAGTGAAATCAGCTAGACAGCAAGGATAAATAATTTAATATTCCACTTATATGAGATACCTGAAATAGGCAAATCATAGAGACAGAAAGTAGATAGGGGCTACCAGGGACTTGGGGATGGGGGTTGGGCATGAGAAAATGAAGAGTTATTGTTTAATGAGTACAGAGTTTCTGTTTGGAATGATAAAAAAGTTCTGGAAATGGCTAATGGTGGTGGTGGCATAACATTGTGAATGGAATTATGCCACAGAATTGTGTACTGAAAGATGGTTAAATGGCAAATTTTATGTTGTATGTATTTTACCACAATAAAAATGTTAAAAATAGATTGGAAATATTAGAGTTGAATTTGATCCGCACAATTTTGCCTAGGAGTAATATAGAATTAGTGAATAATTTGGATTTCCATTTACAAGATAAAATAACCAGAGTCCCAAGATAGCAACAAAGCACATCAGGGTAACCTAGGAGAGAGTAGAGAAACCAGGACCTAAATTCCATTTCTTTGGTATATGTGTTGAGCCTTGGTAGATAAGAGGTTGATGTTATTAGTAAGCCAATAAAGCAGATAGTTTCTGAGCTTCTGTACTGCACTGAGCCCTGTTCTAGGCCACTTCTGGGGATGGTCCATAGAAATGTAAAGCAAGACATTTATGCGGCCAACAAACATATGAAAAAAGCTCATCATCGCTGGTCATTAGAGAAATGCAAATCGAAACCACAATGAGATGCCATCTCACGCCAGTTAGAATGGAGATCATTAAAAAGTCAGGAAACAACAGATGCTGGAGAGGATGTGGAGACATAGGAACACTTTTACCCTGTTGGTGGGAGTGTAAATTAGTTCAGCCATCGTGGAAGACAGTGCGGCAATTCCTCAAGGATCTAGAACCAGAAATACCATTTGACCCAGCAATCCCATTACTGGGAATATACCCAAAGGATTATAAATCATTCTATTATAAAGACACATCCACATAGCAAATACTTGGAACCAACCAAAATGCCCATCAATGATAGGCTGGATAAAGAAAATGTGGCACATATACACCAAAGAATACTATGCAGCCATAAAAAAGTATGAGTTCATGTTTTTTGCGGGGACATAGACGAAGCTGGAAACCATCATTCTCAGCAAACTAACACAGGAACAGAAAACCAAACACTGCATGTTCTCACTCATAAGTGGGAGTTGAACAATAAGAATACATGGACACAGGGAGGGGAACATCACACACCAGGGCCTGTCATGGGGCAGGGGGCTAGGGGAGGGATAGCGTTAGGAGAAATACCTAATATAGATGACAGTTTGATGAGTGTGGCAAACCACCATGGCACGTGTGTACCTATGTAACAAACCTGCACATTTTGCACATGTATCCCAGAAATTAAAGTATAATAATAATTTTAAAAAAAAGATTTTCTTACCACTTCAGGAACCCCTATAAAATGAATGGCAAATTAAAGAATCTTGAGATGCCAAGTAAGCAAACACCACCTGTACCCCAATAACCAATGGGGAAAATTTTTAAAATAAAATAAGAAAACAAGTTTTAATCTCAAGAATTTTGCAATTTGGTTAGGAGTAACAGTTTAATCATCCATTCAAAAAAGACTTGAGAAATGCAAACTTACAAACTTAAGAGGTAGGTTAGGTGATTTAAAACTATGAAGTACTATAGTAGGTGAGATTCAGTAAGGGTTGGAGATGTCTGGGAAGACTCTGACCTTGAATAGGGCCTTGGTTAGGGCAAACCTGCTGATGTTTAAGGTCTGACAAGTGCCAGATCTGCTGCATTAATGATGGATCACTTCATGAATGCTGAGTTGTTAAGGGGCCTGTCATTCCAGCAAGAGGCTGATGGATTTATTAAAGCTTCCCATGAAAGCTGTACTAACTGGATTAGCTGCTAACATGGATTGAGGCTTTGAGTGGGATTAACCACAATTGCCATGAATTAGTTCCTCTTTTTTTATCCTTTTCTTTCCTTCTCCTATATCTTGACTCTTTGGCAAAGCCAGGTGACAGGGGAACAATAGTCAGGTTTACTTTCTTGGAGTTAAAGGAATCTGGGAAAATCTATTAAGTGACTTTTCTCTGGTTTTTAAACCCTGGGGGATTTAATTCAATGGTAAAGAAACCTTATCCCACAATTTAATTCCTCACCACCAGGGTTTCCATCCCCCAATTCCATAGGCTTAATTAGACTAGTTCAAGGTGGTTTAATCAAGGAGATCCATTTTTAGAGAGTTTTCCAAGTTCTTGCTGGTACTATCATGGGCTTCATTGATGGAGGAGAATGGTTAACAAAATCTTTTCTTCTTTTTCTCTTGCCTTTTTCTTTTCTTTTTCTTCCTTCTTTTTCTTGTTCTTTCCACATTAATTGAGCAATGTTACAATATAAAAACTCAGTTTTGGATACACAAAAATGCATAATGTGCTCATAGCTGAACCTTAGTAAATGTTTTCAAACTGAACTGAATGTATAAGCATATTTTCTTGCTCTTGGGAGTCTCTGCCTGTTGTTTAAGGTCTGGCCATAAAATGGTCCTACTCACTCTTTGATTCCCTACCTGTTCCCAAAGAATTTTCTAGCCAAAGTTGCCCATCTCATCTCTGAAACACAGTGTGACCATTCCATGTTTCAAGTTTGATGTGCTGAACTCTCTATGTGTCTACTCCTTCAAATGTCTTGACCCTTCAAATCTCACTTCACTCCTGGACAGTTTTTCAAGCATTACTCTAGGTCCTATAGTTCTCTCCATCTTCTGTCTCCATCTTTTTTTTTTCTGTATTGCTCCAGTAACTAATGTGTACACAGCAAACTTTATCATCTACCCCTGGGCGATGCTTCTAAACTAGAGTGTGTTTCTATGTGTTTGTCTGTGCCTGTTTCAGTACTGTGGGAAATGTTATTGGCTTTTCTCCTCATCACCACACACTGAATGATTGCTTTTGCAGCTTGTCAGACCTTTACTGGGCACCTAATCTCAGTATTGTCTGACATGGTTTTAAGAAGCTCTTCCTGTAAGTCAACCAAATTTTTAGATGACGTAGATACTCTCAGGTCTGGCTTAGTCTGTGCCTAGAGGTCATAAGTAAATTTGTGGCTGAGGTTTGGAGTCAGTTTATGTTTGGAATTAAATCATCACAGTAAATATACATAAAAATTATAATTAATTCACCCTTTATTTGTTTGTCTCACATGGATGTTTTGCTAGTTACTGTATCCTAGCAGAGAGCCTGTCAAGTAGTAGACACTTCAATACTTGTTGAATAATGAATTAATGAATGGCCTTACTCTATGGTCAGGATTAAGGCCCACCATTGGCTGGAGTTAAGGCTAAGTCTGTGCCCAGGGTTAGATGCTAGTCTTGTCTTGTTTCAGGAGTAAGTCTGGTTATTTGTAGCTGGGGTCAGACTTTATTCTTCGAATGGGAGTGCAGTATAGTTTGTGGTCATGCTCAGGGCTGAGTAGATGGCTAGAGTTAAAGCACAGGGCAAATCTAGAGCACACTGCCTGATTTCAACCTAGAGATCAGTCTAGAGTAGTAGACTGACTCTACCTACAGCATGGACTTCAAAGGTAGTTTTCAACTGAATTTTAGGTAAGTGGATTTCTGACTTCATAATCCATTGAAAGCTACCATCACAGTTTGGAAATAAATGGCCAAATTTCAAGTCCTAGATTAGGGATTCTCTCCTGCAGTGACTGTTGAGCAACAGACGAATTGGTGAATTATGATTGTGAGTTGCTCATTGGTCCTATGTGCTCACTTGCTCTCTGTTCCAGTTGAAATGTCAGTCCCTGTCATCTCTATTGTGATGTTTCTCTGCTGCTCTGTCTGTCTTGAGTTCCCCTGGCTGGCTGTCTCATTGCCTATCTCATTTTCTTTTGTCCTCTCCTAGTTTTTAGCAGTCACCTTGCTGGGTTCTTGCTGAGGCAGCACTGCTCACAAATCATTAATAACTTGGAAAATGGCTCTGAGTTTGGTGATGGATTAATCCCAGTGGTGAAGGAATAACTGGGAGGTCAGCTGCCCTGTACAGGAAATGACCACTGGAAGCCCTTTACCTGGATTTAGGCAAACTTACTCCCCACCGAGATCACTGCCTGAACATATAGAACCTTCTTTTTTGCTGCCAAACCTTCTCATAGTGCTTCAGCTTCCAGGGTCCTGCTACTATTTCATTATCAAAAGTTACCGCTATGGAGTCCTATGCTCTGATCTCTCCTTTGAGCCAAAAGAACCAGGTTTTGATCTTAAAATTGTTATGAGTCAGCTGTTATACTTTGCACAAGTGTTTAATCTCTGCTAGATCTCAATTTCTTCATCTGTAAAGTGGGAATGATAGTCTCTGTGAGAAAAAAAGGCGGTGATACATTTGTCAGTGCTTTGTAAAATTAAAAGTTTTGTGCAAAGGTAAGAATAATTTGTATGAACCTTCTATACAACTTTTTAATGTCAGAAGAGGGATTTCAATGTGATAACTAGGAGTCATGAATAGTATGGGCATTGTAGATACCAAGACAAGTTGAAGAAATACATATTTGGCTTGAGTGATGGGAAATTTTCAGAAATTTGTATTGGTAAGTTATTTTTGCCTACACGTGTAGACATCCACTTTTTTGATTGAACACAAACACCCGTGTATTCACATATGTTTATATATATGAAACATAATGCAAATTTATACATGACAGAGGGAGTAATTTGAAGATAGAATCTTTGCTCTTTTCTTACAAAATACCATGATTCTCAATGAGTTACCTAGTGTTGTTCTTGTTATTTTGTCTGATGCCCCACAAAGACCCATCTATTTATTTTTATTATTAAAAGAAAATACAGACATGTCTGATTCTACTCCATCATTATTCTCCTTGAACCTATCCTGAACAAGATATTTTGCCCATCTCATTGATCCATCATCTTAGATGAGGAGCCCATGCCACATAAAAAGCCTTTCATGAGTCTCACTCATTGTCTTAGATGAGGGATTTTTCTTAGAAACTTCATTCAGCTAATAGTTTGGTGCACCTGCAATCCACAAATGCCACAGTATTGCCACAGGGGATCAGCTGAAACAAAATAGACATACTCTCTGTCTGCATGAAGTTTTGTGTTGCCATTCTATTTGCTAGGTACTAGCACTGCAAAAGAAATGGAGACAAGGTTCCTCTGATTATGAAGAGTGACAATATACAAATAATATTAAAAAAAGATATTAGGTAAATTCCCTGAAGAGAATTAAGCACAATGATGTGGTAGGGAGCACCGAGAGAGTGACTACAGATAATATGGACAAGAAACACACCTCAGAGACTGGGACATTTAAGTTGAAGACTATATGACAAGGAGGAGAGAGTCATGCAAAGATTGAAGACAATGAGAAATCAAAGGAAAGTCAGTGTAGCTGGAGCCAGGTGGGCCAGTGGAAGGGTCAGGAAGATGAGATTGATATGAGTGCAGTTGTCTAGGACATTGTAGGCTGTTTGATTCTAAGTTCATCAGGAATCCACTCATTTTAAGCATCAAAGTGACATTGTTTAATACATATTTTTAAAAGGCCAGTAACTCATTCTTGCTATTTGTGGATTGGGATGATAGCAAAGTCAGGGACACATACTAGGAGATTTTACAGTAGTCCAGACAAGAGATTATGGAAGTTTGGACCGTTGTATTCGTAGTGGAAATGGAAAGAAGAGTAATAATTCAAGTCATATTTTAAAGTGATATCTGTTAGATTTGCCCATCAGGCAAACTGGATGTGAAGGGTTAAAGGAAAATTGCTGTCATTATACTTTAATACGTTTATTCATCCATCTTTACTTGTAGACTGTAAGCTTTTTGAGGCCAGAATCTGATTCTTTAACTATTCCTTCTCCTTGGCACAATGTTTGGCATGGTGGATATATGTTGAATGAGTGAATAAATGCATGCATGCATGTATACAAGAATGCAAGTAGGAGTTGGGTTATTTTGAAGAAAGTTACCCTTTCTCCATGTAAGAATTTAAAAGTTCCATATTTGTATTTGATATAATTTTTTTAAATTTTCCCTCTTCATAAGTAAGTTTCAACAATGCCAGGGCTGCAAACTACTATTAAAGCCAATTATTCCATGTCTGATCAGTAGTGACTTAAAAGCGTCAAACGGTGGCAACCTAACTTCACCAAGGTAGGTTCTGTGAACTCAATCTTCCATTTTCATTTTACCCTGATAAAGCCTGTTTCAGCTTTAGCCATCCTAGCTTCTGGGGATGAGCCAGTTGTAACTGACTGAAATTGATTGCTCATTGAGAAATGAGGGCTAAGCAATGAAGATTGGAAATTTGAGCTGTAAGTTTCATCAGGTCAGACTTTCTGCAAAGCCTCCTCAGCCTAGGGAGCTAGGCTCATTGAACAGGGACTGGTATGGATGGATGGAGGACAATTTAAATTGAAGCTGCTTTTCTGTAGCCTTTGAAAAGCTGCTGATTCATTTACTAAACTAGGCCAGATCAAAAGTGAAGCTGAAGCAACTTTCTCAGATATTTGCTCTAGGAGAGGAATGAGAGCCTGACCTTCCATATATAAATATAGTGGATTGTAGGTTGTATCAACTCATTGGGACTATACAAACTCTACTGACTGTCAGTGGCCCTGCCAGGAAGCCTAGAATACCCATTTCTTTCTTAATTTAAAGCTTCAAACATTTCCTTGAAGGGATGCTATTGTTATGGAGTTTGATAGACGATCTTCAAGTCCATGCCAGTACTTATATGTTAGATATTGCCATTCTTAATCTCTGAAAAAGAGACCATGGAACTCTAGACCATTCTCCAAGTTAAAGCCGGGCATAGGCTAATAAATTCATCCCAAGTCCTTTCAGTCCCAGACGTGGTTCTGCTGCTGTCCGTGGTACTGAACTGTGTCAGACAAAGAAGAAGCCTGGTCTCCCTGAGATGTTGCAGCTGATAGCAAGTTGGAAGTTAGTTATGTTTATTCTTTATGTGATTGTTATTTCAATATTTATTTACAAACATATATGAATCATCTCAACTGTTCAAATTAGAAGGGAACGAAAGGGAATTAGAAAGATACTTAGAGACCTAGAGGAAGAAAAGAAACCTGCCTAAAGTTAGCCATTTGGTGGCAGATCTGAGAAGAGAGAGAAACTTGATCTTAATTCTGTCACTAAGCAACTCTTACATTAAGCAAAAAATGCCTTTTGTTAAAACGACAATTTTGTCATGATGTAACCATCTTCCTAATTATAGAATAAGCAGGTATGAGCGCTACACTCGTGAAAAATAAACCATTTTCTAGTCCTCAGTCATTCGCTTCATAGAAAGTTGGAGAACTGGATATGAATCATCTTTATTTACATCTGGTATGTCCAGAAACATGAGTAAGAAATAGTTGAGACTTATAACTCTGGAGCTGGCTAAATAAAAATTGGGATACATTCCATTGGAAATGTGGAGTTTGCTAAGCCAGTGCATGTCATATATGTAATTGTAGGACTCTCCCTTCTCTAAATCTTCTTAGAGGACCTTCATACTAAACGAGAAGACTAGCCCAAATTAAAAAATAGAGAGATTTGTTGTTTTGTATTACCCACTTAAACAAGTCTCAGTGTTGCCTGGTGGATATCCGTGGTTAATTTCATTTAAGTAACTGATGGGACTGATATGAAATTAACGTATAATTAAAAATATAAGTGTCTTTTTCTAACTTACATGATAATGTTTGAAAAATAATTTTCTCTGAGGTTTCTTAAGCATTTCCCCTGAATATCTTAAAGTACTAATTTGTTTATAAACTTTATACAGGAGGCATTTTAGAATAGTGGTGTGACTGAAGTTACACTGAAGTCAGAATGATCATGTTCCACCAATTACCAGTTGTATGGCCTTAGGAAATTTTATTAATATTGTGGAGCCTCAGTTTTCTCAGTAATAGAATGAACACAATAATATCAACTTGGTAGGATCATTGTATATTTAAATCAAGCAATGCACATTTAGTCCTCAGTGCAGGTCCTCTCACATAGGTGCAAAATAGTGTTCAGTAAATACCAGTAATAAATTAATTTATAAATATCAATATTGGACATTGCAAATATTGGCTCCCACTTTCAAACTATGACAAATTTTATATTAGCAGAAGATGACAATAGCTAAGTGAGCAAAAGATCCCATCACTGTAAGTATTGGTAATGATGTGCCCAGTTAAACTTAGCCAATCCAAATCTGGACAATTTAAGGGAGAGACTGGATACTTATTTCCAACAATGTCCCCATGAATTGTGAATTATTTAAAACCACCCACCTGAAAGGACATGAATCCCGTATTGACGTCATAATCCATTATTTTGATATATGGCTCCTTCCAAAGCTCTATTTCAATGTAATCTGTGTCCCAACAAGGCTGCAGGCTGGTCACACTTTTGCTCTATTGACTTGCCAAGCAGAATTATTTATTTGGCACCAGTAATGTGCTCTGTATTCTATGGCAGTTGGTGATAATAATAGCTTGGTTTCTTTTGGTGCATTTCCTTCAAGGAGTTGAGAGGACATTTGGATACACAGGGAAGGAGAAGTTGCCATATTGCTTCTCCTAACTCATAGCATTAGGCCCCTTAAAAACCACTTTTGGATGATGATAATGTTGAATGTTTATATATATATATATATGATAAAATGACAGTGGCAGGGAAATGAAGAAGAGCAGAGGAAGAGAAAGGAAGGAAAACTGAGAAGAGGGGCAGCAAAAGACAAACAAGAAAAACATAATTTTATTGCTGTAGAAAGACAAGAACTATCTTCAAATAATGCTATAGAGGACCTGAAGAGTCAAAGGTAACTAAAACTGTATGTCACTTTTATTTCCCTTAGGGACCAAATTCTCTTCTGGCTTTCACAGATATCCATAGCTGGATTCACACCACCTATGTAACTTTCCCTCTTTGTTCCCAACCTTGCCTGAGCTAGACCACAAACTATCAGGTTCTAGAATTTCTGACATTATAAGGAAAACTTGAACTAAAATAAACTCCAAAATAATTCATTAATCTCTGAGAATAAAGTCTCAGCATTGGAAGAGATGGGTGTGGGTGGCACCTTTCTTGTCACCTCCCAAAGCGGTAATCCTTTCCTCAAACAAGTAAGATAGCTGGTTCTCAAAAAACAATGGTTATGGAAACTCAATACCTTGCAATATAGGCCATCCTGGTGTGAGAAGTAATGGCTGTAAGAAAGCATTCCTACTGTCAACTTGAAGTGTGCTTATATGCCTCTAATGGCTAGTATTATGGAGGACATACTAGCCATTGTTCTGTGTGCTTAATGTGTATAGCTTCCAAGCCTCCCAATAATTTTGAAAGATAGATATTATTACTCCCATATCTATAAACAGAAGAAAATATGACTCAAGGAGGTTAAATGGCTCGTCTAAGCTCACATAGCTTGTAAGTTCTGGAGCTATACTCAAAGCCAAGACTGATTCTATAACCTTTTCTTTTTTCACTTCTTAACTGATGGCATTCCCTTCCTTTTCAGCTGTCAAAACCTCACTTGCTTGACAAATAACTAATGCATGCGGGGCTTAAAACCTAGATGATGGCTGGTTGGGTGCAGCAAGGCACCATGGCATATGTATACCTGTGTAACAAACCTGCACATTCTGCACATGTATCTCAGAACTTAAAGTATAATTAAAACAAGAAGAAAAAAAACAAAGAACAAAATGTTACCTTAATTCCCAGTTCTTCTGTGAAATGCTCTTGGTCACCCCATCCTGGAGTGCTCATCTTTCTATTATGAGCCATTTCCAGCAATTTAGTTCTGTAGAATTCTTATGGCAATTACTGTGTAAGATCATACATCAAGAAATCTCTCGTACTGGAACCTTAAATTTTATTTAAATATTTTTTAATTATTTAAAAATCATGAAATGCCAGAAACGGAAGGCACAAAAGAGGTGATAAAAATGACAATACTTGGTAGTATTAAGTATTTACTATGAGCTATATATTACTCTAAGTGATTTACTTGCACTAATTCATTCAATGCAAATGAAGTATGGATTATGTATGGTATGCACATATGTTTCACCATTCTACAAATGAGGAAATGGAAATACACAGAAATTAGTTAATTCTCTCATGGCCAAAAGCTACAGCTTCATAGTTACTCAAATCCACAAGGCTTTGAAGTGGAATTTTTTTTTGAGTGTGTTTGGCAGCAAAACCTGATCTGACCTAAACTGATTTTGTGGCAAAGCTTGTCCTAGCTTGACATCAGACTATTTATAATTATTTATCTCATTTAATGTTAATATTCATATGTTTTACTGTAGAAATATTTATGTGTTTAATTATGGAGCACTGCTCCAGACCTTACTAGGGTTAGCAGTATGCTGTGTAATATTTGGATATTAATTTCCTCACCCTGCCCTTGCACACCCCATCTCCAAATCCTGTATTTGGAAACACATCTAGCCCTAAAGGCTTTGGCAGAAAGCATTTAGATCTGTAGTTAGTGGTAAAAGAGTCACAGTTCAAATCAGGCTATTAGATGCTAGAGCCCAGATTCAAGAAAACTATACTAACTTTTCTTTTTTTAAAATTTTTTAAAAAAATTTCATTTTAAGTTCTGGGGTAAAGTGCAGGATTTGTTAATAGGTAAACATGTGCCATAGTGGTTTGCTGCACCTATCAACCCATCACCTAGGTATTAGGCCTAGCATTCATTAGCTATTTTTCCTGATGCTCTCCCTCCCACCACCCGCTTACCCTGTGACAGGCCCCAGTGTGTGGTGTTCCCCGCCGTGTGTCTGTGTGTTCTCATTGTCCAGCTCCCACTTATAAGTGAGAACATGCGGTGTTTGGTTTTCTGTATACTAGCATTTCTAATACTTCTGTTTATAATGTAACAAAACTTAGGAGCAGTGATCAATAACAAATAGATGGTAAAATATATATTTTTAATATTTTCATGACTTTTAAAATAGGACACTTTTCCTGTGTCCATGCCCGGTCTCTCAGTTGAACCCTTAGCTCTTTGGGGGCAGAGGCAATGCTTGAGGCATTTTGCTCCTGGCCCCACTACAGCACAGTGGTCAAGAGAACCCAAGCTTTGGGGTCACAGGGTCTGTGTTTGAGTTGCAGTCCACTGCTTACTGGCTCCGTGGCTGTGAGCCATCTCCTTTAGCATCAAAACAGAGAAGACAACACCAAAGGGACTTCAGGAGATCATGGATATGTAGTACAGAGCAAAGATGAAAAGAATGACATTTTTTTCTTCATAATAAAGTTTTGATGATTTGCATTTAACCTAACAGGCTTTGGTATTTCCTTTCCTTGTATTCTCATGGTGAGAGCAGAAACAACCGCTGTGCCATGATCTCTGTGACTTACCTTTTCAGTACAGTGGGAAGGGCCAGCCTTGCTGAAAAGTCTTGTTTTTTTTTTTTTTTTTTTTTTTTTTTTTTGAGATGGAGTCTCACTCTGTTGCCCAGGCTGGAGTGCAGAGGCGCGATCTCAGCTCACTGCAAACTCTGCCTCCCAGGTTCACGCCATTCTCCTGCCTCAGCCTCCCGAGTAGCTGGGACTACAGGCGCCCGCCACCACGCCTGGGTAATTTTTTGTATTTTTAATAGAGATGGGGTTTCACCGTGTTAGCCAGGATGGTCTCGATCTCCTGACCTCGTGATCTGCCCACCTCAGCCTCCCAAAGTGCTGGGATTACAGGCGTAAGCCACCGGGCACGGCCAGTTTTTTTTTTTTTTTTTTCCCAGGCGGCTACTTGTGAATCCAATGTGATGAGGCAAACATTGCAGTGAAAAAGATTAATCTTCCATTCCAAGAAGCATGAGGTATTTAGATCTTAACTTGAGAAAAACTATTTTTGGGCTGTATAGGTAGAGAAAATCCTTACAGATAAGGCATTCATAGATATTTCACAGAGAATTAATATTCAGCCATTGATGAGCTTCATCATTAACCAGTTATATTCAAAAAAGAAATGATATTCATGGCCGGGCACAGTGGCTCATGCCTGTAATCCCAGCACTTTGGGAGGCCTAGGTGGGTGGATCACCTGAGGTCAGGAGTTTGAGACCAGACTGGCCAACATGGCAAAACCTCATCTCTACTAAAAATACAACAATTAGCAGGGAATGGTGGCAGGCACCTGTAATCCCAGCTACTCAGGAGGCTGAGGCAGGAGAATTGCTTGAACCTGGGAGGCAGAGGTTACAGTGAGCCAAGATCACGCCATTGCACTCCGGCCTGGGTGACAAGAGCGAAACTCTGTCTCGAAAGAAAGAAAGAAATGATATTCGTGTGAGATAATCCTTCCTTATCCTTTTAGGTAGGCTGTATCAAAATCGATTTACACTGACCATCGGCTGTACTAAAGCACCTTTTGTTTTTCATTAGATAAAATATACTAGATATAAACCAAGGTTTTAGGTTAACTCAATGGGTGAAACAAGTTAGAAGGTTATGTGCATTAGAATCACCAAAGAAGCTTTTTAAAACGTAAATCCTTGGCCCTACCCCCAGAGATTCCAGATTCAGAAGCTGTGCTAGGACTTGGGCATTCATTTTTTAAAAAAATACATTTTAATGGGCATATTTGAGGTTTACAACATGATATATGGGATACATATAGATATTAAAATGATCAATATAGTGAAGCAAATTAACGTATTTATCATCTCACATACTTTTTTTTTGACAAGAGCAGCTAGAATCAACTTTTTAAAACAAAAATCCCTAATTCAATACAATATTATTAATATAGTCCTCATGTTGTACCTTAGGTCTCTAGACTGGTTCATCCTACATATCTGCTAGTTTGTATCCTTTGACTTACATCTCCCCATTTCCTCCCCACTCCACCTCTGATAACTATTGTTTTATTCTCTATTTCTGTGCATTTGACCTCTTGTTTTAAGAATCCAGATCTAAGTGAGATTTTTAAAAAACATTCCCAGGTGGTTTTGATATAAAACCTGGTTTCAAACAACTTCTTTAAGCTAAATGTTGATCTAGGAATGGAAGCTCAATTATTACTTATTAATGTGTTATAATGCCTCACTAAACCAGGCTTCTCATTTGCAAAATGGGAGCTCACTTAGCCTCTCTCGATATGTTTTCTTCTGTGTTGCTGTTTAATGATTTTATTTCTGAAAACATCACAATTATAATATATGGCTCTAGACTGCTAATAAGAATAGTTTCTTGTTTTTAAAATTTTTTTGCCAAGATAGGCATTGTGCTATAACACAAGACATAACAAACTATGGGTAATTAATCTTAATAAGTACAGCAGCAGTGGAGAGAGCCCTGGTTTTTAAATTTTATTATTATTATGGTAAAAAAAAACCCCACATAACGTGAGATCTGCACTCTGAACACATTTTTACATGAACAGTACAGTGTTGTTATTACTAACCACAAATGTATTTTTAACTAAGCACAATGTTGTATAGAGCATCTCTAGATAATTTTTTTATCTTATGTGACAAATTTTATTCTCACTGAGCAGCAACTCTTCATTTCCCCTTCCCTCTCAGCCCCTGGCAATCACCATTATGCTTTCTGCTTCAATGAGTTTGGCTACTTGAAAGTCCTCATATAAGTGGAATGACGCAGTGTTTGTTCTTCTGTGATTGGCTTATTTCACTTAGCATTGCGTCCTCAAAGTGCATTTGTATTGTATCATAGGATAGGAGTTCCTTTTTTATGGCTGAATAATATTTCATTGTATATATGTATTATATATACAATATATAACATATATTATATATTATACACATATATAATATGTAATATATAGATATAGCTCACATTTTCTTTATCCATTCATTTATCGATTGACATTTAAGTTGTCTTCACCTATTCATTATTGTAAATAACACTACATTGAATGTGGGAGTACAATTATCTTTCAAAATCCTGTTTTCAATTTGTTTTGGATAAGTATGTAGAAATAGAATTGCTGGATCATATGATAGCTCCATTTTTAATTTTTAAAGAAACATCTATACTATTTTCAGTAGACTGTACTATTTTACATTTCTACCAACAGGGCACAGGGGTTTCAATTTCTATACATTCTTGCTACCACTTTTTTTTTTGTTGTTGTTTTTAATTGATTAATTTTAAAAATAATGACCATCCTAATAAGTATGAGGTGATATCTCTTTGTGGTTTTGAGTTTCATTTTCCTGATAATTAGTGATGTTGAACACATTTTCACATATGTGTTGGTCATTTTTGTGTTCTTTGGAGAAATATCTATTTAAATCCTTTGCCCATTAAAAAAAATTGAGTCGTTTGGGCTCTTTTTTTGTTTTGTTTTTTTGTTTTTTTCTTTTTTTGCTATTGAGTTATAGGGAGTTTCCTATATGTTTTGGAGATTAATTCCTTATCAGATAGATGGTTTGCAAATAGTTTCTCTCCTACTATAGGATAGGTTGCCTTTGAAAGAACTTTGCTTTTTGAAACAAAAAAAAACTTAGATTATTTTATTCCTTATTTCTCTGAAACCTTGTGGTTAGTAGTGAATTTCTTAACCTTCATTAGCTTAGTCTTCATATCTGCCAAATTGAATAATGGAACCATTCTTAACTAATTCATTACGTTGTAAATACCAAATAACTTAATATTTATTAAAATGCTCTGTACCATTCACTTAAATTATTGACATTTTACAGACCATTACCACAGTTCAACTCATGTATAATGTGGGTGTATAGAGAGCTTGTTTCTCTTAGATTTCTCCATGCCAAAAGTCATAGAGAAGATCTTTTTGCAATCTCTATTAATTAGATGGTAGGGCATATGCTTTTATGTGACTTTGAAAATGCCTGACCATCCATTTCTCTAACTATGTATCCACCCACCCAGTTAAGAATAATTCATGTATGGTAATTATAATAATCATAATAATAATTAGAATTAGAATTTAAAATAATTATTATAATTACAATAATACCTTGTATTTGCATGGTGTGTTACTGTTTACAAAGCACTTTGGCATACATTCTTATCATAGCAGTCCTGAGAGAATGGTTTACCTCTATTATATGGCTCTTTCTTTTTCCTTCCTTTTCTTTTCTTTTCTTTCTTTTTTTTTTTTCTTTTGTCAGAATCTCGCTCTGTCACCCAGGCTGGGGTGCACAGGCGCGATCTCAGTTCACTGCAACCTCCGCTTCCTGGGTTCAAGCGATTCTCCTGCTTCAGCTTCCTGAGTAGCTGGGACTACAGATGTGCACCATCACGCCTAGCTAATTTTTGTATTTTTAGTAGAGATGGGGTTTCACCATGTTGGCCAGGCTGATCTTGAACTCCTGACCTCAAGTGATCTGCCCACCTTGGCCTCCCAAAGTGCTGGGATTACAGGCATGAGCCACCGTGCCTGGCCTATTATGAGGCTCTTTCTTGAAGGTAGCCCATTTAGCCAAAGTTGTAGTTATATCCTTGCTAATGAGAAGCAGAGATGGCTGTCTTAATATCTCTTTAACACATATAGCACAAAATTTGTATTCTCATATTAATATCAAATTAGTTAAAGGAAGTGGTTTTATCCTTTTTTTTCTTAGGTATACCCAAGGTCCAGACGAAGTCCATGACTTGATTAAGATTAAATAGAATTTTCATTGCAAGACTTGATCTCAAGTCTGAGCTTTCTGATTGAGTCCATCTCTCTAGACTCTGAACCTATGTGCCCCAGTGAACCACAGTATCCTCATCCTCATAGGCATCTCTGCTTGCCTCATCCCAGAAAGTTACCATCATTGATTCCTGGCCACCTCCTCCTCTGCAGTGCCGTGGATGAAAATAACCATGTCGCTCTTATCCACATCCTAACCCCATTCTGTCATTTCTGCCTGCATGCTGGTGAAATATGCTTTTGGCTGGGAGAAGAAAATTTGCAAGCTGCCAACCCAGAGATGGCCCTGACAGAATGGTACATTTGACCAGGTTCTGGGAGGAGAAATTGTTCTCTGGTGAGGGCTGTGTTCCAGTGGTCTCTGTGTTGGGAAAAGTCACCCCGTTTTCTCTGCCAGTTTCCCTAAATTCATTTCATAATGGGCTCTATATGAACATACAATATTTATATATACTCACAGATGTAAGACTCATAGTGTAACGAAGACACATTGGAGTTCATGAGTACAGCCTTGCCATTTTACAAATAGGCAAACTGAGGCCTAACAAGTTGGAAGGAACTAGCCCAGTAAAATTGTCATGCATGTGATGCAGTGGTAGGGCCAGCTCAGAACTCAGGAAAACCTTGCCTCACTCTGCATAGAAAAGACATGACCACCAAACATTTTCATAACCACTTATCTTTCTCATCCATTGCACTTATGCAAAAGGAAACTGCATAAGTATTTATTTGTATTTTGTTTATTGTCTTCTCCACTGGACTGGGAACTCCTTGGAAGGAAAGGAACTGAATCTGTCTTGTTCAGTGTTTAGCATGATGCCTAGCATACTGAGAGTTCTCAATAAATATTTGTTGACTGAATGAACAAATAAATGAATATATTAATGGCAAATTAATAAACAAGCCTGGAATAGGACCTGAATTTTAGGATTCCAGAGTGGTAGTACTCCCTTGGAGCAATCTGTCCCTCCATATTTTAGATTTTGTGACATTTTATATTTAATGGCATGACTGGATTTTTCATTCATTTTGTGAGCAAAGGCAAAAGGTCCCTTGCTTTTAGAATGACAAATACAACGTGATTTAAAATTATATGGTATATTCAAAACTGGAACAAGACCATGAATTAGTGCAAAGCTGGCTACAGCCTCTGATAGCACAGCTGACTGACCTAGGGAGGGTGATTTTTCCCAGGGCTGTTTTTTTCCCTCTCAATTCCCCATCCCCACCTCCATCCTATCTTCTCCCTTCCATCCCTTTCTGTCCACTCCATTCCACTCCTCCCTCACCCCATTAGACAGACCCTTGGCCAATTTTTCATGCAAAGGGAAGGAAGAACTAATTTCCAGAGCTTGGCTGCACTCTTAGTCACTGGGGGACACTTGGGTATCAGAGCTAATGTTTGTCCAGCTGGTCAGGTCAGCTGAGTCCTCTTTAGCACAAACAGTCTCTCTCCTCCGTCTGCCTTTATTCCCAGATGTTTGTGATCAAAGGCAGCCCCATAGCCTTGTGGTCCTCTTCTTCTGTTTGGTCACTCCTAGGTCACCGCATCGGAAACAGGAGGATCACCCTGCTGCATTATTTAGTCTAGGTGGGCTTCCTGGAGTAGCAGGCCTTAGAGGTGTTACTCGCTCTATAAGGGACTGCCTGACCATCAACCACACTTTGTCTTTTCACCCTCTTGCCTGACCATTGGCCAATGTTTTCCTCTGTCTGGTCTAGATTCTTATTTCTCTAGACTATTTGTCTGCACTACTCCTTACCTGAAAGAGTGCTATCTTAATTTGTTTTGAGATTTGAAAATTCATCAGTATCAACCTGCTATGATGCCTATTTCTGACCTAAATGTGCTAAACCTAAGGGATCTTAGGCTTTACCTCCCTCATTATACTAAAGGTAACACTGAGGTCCAGAAAGAAAAAATGACTTTTTCAAGTCCTCATGGCAAGTTTTTCTCTCATTATTTCAATTAGTGATTTTTGAAGCCAGCCATGAAAGTAACAAATTGTTAGTAACAGAAAGGTATTTCAAAAGGTGGATACAAAATCCCTGGGAAGCTTTCTAATCTAGTGCCTTTCCATTGGCCTGATAGGGCCCAGGACTGTGTACTTTAAATCCTTCCTCCTAATGACTCTATTGTAGATTTTCTGAGAGCCACACTTGCATTAGTATGGACCATGAGGGCACCCTGATTGGTAAAGCAAGTATGGCCAGGCAGATAAATGACTATTAAGATTGCTCTGGATAATTAAAGAAGAGGTAGACACAGGGAGAGTGAAGAAGGTGATCATAGTGGTGGTGGAGGTGGAAAAGGATGAATGAGTGGTACATTTTAAGCAGTGTTCTTAATTGCAAGCAAAAGAAACCAGCTCAGGCTGCCTGTATTAGTTTCCTAGGGGTAAAAAACCATAGACTGGGGTGGCCTATACAACAGAAGCTTATTTTCATAGTTCTGGAGGCTGGAAGTGCAAGATCAAGGTGTTGGCAGAATTGATTTCATTCTGCAGCAGTGTTCCTTGGCTTGCAGAGGTGGCTGCCTCCTTGCTGTGTCCTCACCTGATCTTTCCTCTGTGCAGTGTGTGCCCCGGTGTGTCTTTGCGTGTTCAAACTTCCCCCTCTTATAAGGACACCAGTCAGATTGGATTAGGGTCCTCACTAATGACCTCATTTTAATTTAATCACCCCTTTAAAAAACTTATCTCCAAATATAGTTACATTCTGGGATACTGGGTTTAGAACTTCAACATATGAATTTGGCAGGGATAGGGAGCCAGGGGAACAGAATTCATCCCATAGCCCTGTCCTAAGCTCACAGAGTTGATATGAGGCTCTTAGACCAGGCTTAGTAATGGGAGAAATCCATGTGGTAGAAGTGGAGAGGATGAGGAAAGCAACATTAGAGAGGAAAACAGTCTAGCCTGGTGAATTTAAGGTTTTGACACTCTACCTCTCCTTCCTGGAGTGATAGGCATATTTCAGCTCTGTTGTGTTTCAATGAAATGAAATAGAGTTAAATGTAAGGCTCTCATTGAAGTTCAAAAAAATCAACTGCACAAATGCAGGTTGAAAATATGAAGGCATATTGAATTACTGAGAATAAAATATAGGGTATGGAGAAATCTAGATTTAAAGCCCTGCTTCAACTTCTTGACAGAGATGCAGATAAATGGAATGCTGACAGAAGAAAGCAGAAAGCAACCAAAAATGTTGAATTATTATGTAATAGTGGGCACTTAAATGTACCAACTTTGTGCCAGGTACTGTTCTAAGTGTTTCATATATATTAACTTATTTAATCCTTATAACTGCTCTATGAGGTAAGCACTGCTATTGTATTTATTGTTCAGGTGAGGAATCTGGTACAAAGAGGTTAAAGTAACTTTCCCAGGACCGTCTAGCTGGTCCTTTGTACCAGATGAGGAATCTGGTACAAAGAGATTAAAGTAACTTTCCCAGGGCCACCTAGCAGAACTGGGAGTTGAACCCAGCCAGTCTGCCTCTAGAGTTCTGTACTATGCTGAAGGATTGAAAAAACTGGACATGTTGATAGAATGGTCAGTTTTCAGATATGTTTTAAGTTACCATATGGAAACATATTGTGTTTATTTTGTGTGAGCCATCAGAGTAGATCTAGAATCAATGGCTAGGGAGATATATCATTAATAAGCAGTTTTCAGCTCAGTATTATAAAGAATTTTAAAATAGTTCAGCAGGGAATTGAGCTACTGTGCAAGCATGGTTGGTCGCCTATATATAAAATAGCTGTTTTCCATTCCTCTTTGCTTATAAAACTATTCTTTGTTCAGAGAGCAGTGGATCCGTCTCCAAGGCATGATTTTCAATTGGCCAAGGCGACTTGCAGCAATCCTCTGCTCGTCTGTGAATGATTGGTGGAGGGATGAGCATACAATCTTGTTCTGACCAGTGAGGTACTGGGGGAAGTTTCCTGGAGTTTGGGGATGGTTTTCTACTTTTACTAAAAGGGGAAGATATGAGGAAAAGCCCCCTGTGTGCATCAATTTTCATCTTGCTTTTGATAGTATATATGGGACAAAGATACTTGATCCAATGAGGAAAACCATCACCGATTTCCAACAAGGTAGAAAGGACCTTGGTCCTTGGTGACTCTTTTGAGCCCCTAACCAACTCAGGTGTCACTTCCCTGTAGGCTTGTTGTTAACTGAGAAGTTTGAAAAGTTTGCCTAAATATACTGTTACTTGGGGCTTAAATCATCCTGTTACAAGTAGCTTGGGAGGTAATGAGTTCAACATCCTTGGAGATGTACAAACAGAGCATAGAGGTCCACTTATAGGAATGTTGTGGCCAAGGGCTCAGGCTTTTTTTGAAGTTTTTACTAGAGGGCAATTAAGGTCACTGCTAGTCCTGATATTATGATTACCTTCCTGCCCCTACCCAACCCCAGCACAAGTCACTCTGTGTGACTCTCTCTGGCTGTGTGTATTGAGCCAGGCTGGCATCCACAGCAGACATTTTTTGTGAGTCACCTATAGTGTCAGGCCTTGGAAAAAGGCAGAGGCTGTGATGTCACAGCTCCTCCAATGACACAGCATCAGGGGACAGCCAGAAATAGACATGTGGAAGCCCTTGCCACTGGCACTCTCTTGTACTCTGAAACAACCCATTTCTCTCAGCTCAGACACCAGGCTGCTGGAGAATTGGAGAACCAAAATAGACTGAACGTCTAGTCACCCTCCTAGAATTCCCCATCTGCTCTGACAAAGTTCTGGGGACACCCAAGGTGAAACCCACCCAGCAGAACATTGAGAACATGACCGAGATTTAGCTGGACTTTGGTTCCTAACCACAGTGGCTCATTCACAGAAAAAGGCCCTAAGACAATGTCTCTAGTCAGCTTTGTCTTCAACACATTCCTAAGGTTTAAGATTGGGATGTGTTAGAGACGAAGGTTTGGTTCGTATCTGACTTCCGGTGCTGCAGACCATTGATTGCTGCTGAAATGTAGCAGCCAAACCTTTTAGAGCCACGCTAGCCATCTGATGTAAAGCAAAAAGCTGGAGACCTTTGACAATTCTGCTTGGAAACAATTTTTATATATTAATGATCATAGCAGCAGCTAATATTAGTTTGGCTTTTAGGGAATCAGTAGATGGTACCTACATCTTTCTCTAAGTCCAAAGCCAATGAAGAGACAGATATAAGAATCAGAACAATCGATATCAAAATATCAGGTCCATTATTGATGAATATGAGGTTGGAGGATTTGGCTTAGGGATGAGGCAACAAGGCATATGTTAATACTGTGCCTAAGAGGTTTTCAGCCCTTCTTTGTTGCACCTAATGCATGACCGAGAGCAGATCTCGGTCACTCTGATAAATCTCTCCTCTCCCATGGGGAATGTGAGTGAGAATGGGAAGAGAAGCCAGGAATGTTGGTGTAGCTGAAGTTCCTGCACGTCAAAATGGGATGAGTGAGGAGTAGGTATTTTCCACAGTCTTATTGACTGAGTTCTTACTAGTTGCCAGATACTGTGCAGACAGCATCCATGTAGACTATCCAGTTTAATTCTCTTTTCCACCTCATAAGGAAAGTGCTAGTATTATCTTCATCTTACTGATAAGGAAACAGAGGCCCAGAAAGACCCACAACTTTACTAAGGTGACACAGCTAGTACGCGTCAAGATGGGATCCAGACCAAAGTCGGTCCGAGGCCACAACAGATCTTGGAAGCAACAGGCTGCAGAGCCTCCCCTGCCTTACTGCACAGCGTTGCTGGGTGCTATGAGGAGATAAAGGAACATGACGTTCTGGATCAGAAGGCTTGGGCTATAGCCCAGGCTCTGCCATTTTTTAGCCTCCACAACTACAGTGCCCTTGCCTGCAAAATAGGGATGATAATGCCTTTCTTGAGAAGCTCAGGGAGTTTCTATGAGGATCAGGTGAGCCGATGGTCATTAAAGTGTTTTGTTACTGGCTGGCCCGGGGCACTGATGTGCATCTAGGGGTAGGAGAGTTCTGAGTTCCGCCGCGCCTCTCTTGATAACTTTCTCAGTGATGTGGTTCAACCACTTGACTTCCTATACCTCAGTTTCGCCACCTGTATAATGAAAGCCCTAGTCCTTGATTTACTAACCTCTCAGAGGTATGGTGATGCTTAAAGGGGATAAAGTCAAGAAAACACTTTCTTTGTGTAATCTAGAGATGTCAGAATATGATGAAAATTGTCATCCTTATCATTGTCTTTTTGTGTGTGTGAGATGTGGCACTTGGGGCAGTATCTATTTTTGTGACAAAATTATTTCTTAGACTCTCATAAACTCATTTAGCTGAAGGATTTTATTGGTGACAAATTTAGGTTTGTATCTCAGCAATTTTATTTAAAAAAATACTAAAAAATAATCTTATTAGAAAATGGTTCAACTTAGGAGCACTAACAAGTATCAGCTTTGAACTAAGTCTTATGTGCTAAGGAGAATAGAATAAAAATATCTAACAGGCATATAGCACTTATGTGCCTATACTGTTCTAAATGCTGTAAGTATATTTATTTAATCCTCACAATAAAACCCTGTGAGCAGGCATTTTATTATGTCTATTTTATAGATGGGAGGTAGGGGGATAAGGGCTCAGAGATGTTAAGTAACATGCACAGGAACGAGATTTGAATCTGCAGTCTAGCCTCAGAATCTCTCTTGTCTTAACCGCTGGAGTGGACTTTATAAAGCACAGTCCCTGCCTTCAAAGAGCTTGCAGAACAGCTGACAGACCAGTCGAGAGCAGATACGCACAGACGATAGATAAGCAAGAAAGGAACACAAGACATTGCTACATTGGATCGTGGGTCAAATGATGCTGTTTGAACGACGGGTTAAAAATAATCTCGAAGTACAGCAAGGTAATGAGAGTGATGTGGGAGAAGTGATGTCTGACTTGGGCCTTTTATGGCAGTAGGGTGTGAGTCAGTAGGAAAAATAATGGGACTATCCATGTAGTACTTGGTCCTATCTAAAGGGACTCATTACTTGAGGAAGCAGCATTGGCTAAACAAATCACTAAATCTAGAAAAGAAATATGTATCATAAAAAGAAGATGGCTCAAGGGATAAACAAAGGGGCAATATTATAGACCATTTACTAATCGTATGACAATTTGTGCCTCAGTGTCTTCTGTAAAATGCAGATAAGAAGATCCATTTTGCCTTCCTGACAAAGTAAAACTGCTTTTGAAAATAATAAAGGTCACCCACACATATTTAATGGGATAACAGTTTTAAAAAATCATTTATATTTTTATCTTTTGTCTTCCTAATTACCTGGGCTTTGCCCTAGATGATTAGAGGAGTCTATTGCTTAAAGGAAGGAAGAGGGAGATTAGGAATGCCAGAGAATGGATACAGACCAAAGGGAACATCCACAAATAACCAGGCTGTAGTCTGGAGAGAGGGTTGCCTCAATTCTTTTAGCTGCCTGTTTAGCATATCAACGGCATGCTTTATCTGAGCCAGAGGTCTCCACAGGAAGGCCAAGTGGAAGAGCCTATCCTTTTCCGGCTTCAAAGATAGTGGGAATCAGAAGAAAAGAGAAGAGAGCAGGAGAACAGAACAAAGACACATGGTCCTATTTTTCTCATCTCGGCTTTGGCACAGGAGGCTCATTAGACAAATTGAGACAACGCTGATTGCTTCTTCCCCAGCCTAAGGCACAGGATGAAACTCCTAGTCCAGTGTGGTGGAGGCTGGACTTGGAAGCAACCTGAGAGTGTGCTTGGGGATCTTGCCAGAGTGGGTTTCAGTGGCTGGGACAAACTGGCACTGCAGTAAAGACTGCAGGTCAGACCCACCAGGTAGGGTGAGTGGAATTCCAGCCAAACCTTAGAGAAGTCTGTGGTGCTAGCAGTAGGCAAGATGAAGCTCAGGTAACCCCAGTTCTGTATACTAGTTGAGGCAGGAGAACAAATGACAATGTATGTCAGGCCAGCTTCCATTTTACCATGAAGGCCAGAGGGGCAAGCAGCAACCAGGTGGCCAAGGGAGGTGCTCCCTGGACCAGAGTGGGCAGGAGGCCATCCCACTACCCTATATACCACCACAAATGCTTGTAAGCCATATATCCCTCTCATCACCTTTGTACCCAGAATTTATCTTCATGGAGAAGCGGAGAGAGGTTATATGAGAGATTAAGCCATTTTTATTCAAACGAGACTGACATCGCCTAAAATGACCATGCAGATAATAAGAACAGACTGGATTTAAACTAGATTGGTCCTTTAGTTTATTTTTCTACCAACTGTCAGATGAAGGTTATAGACAAATGAAAGTTCAGTTACAGGAAAAATAAATTCATTTTACATCCTCATCCAAGTTGAAGTGTGAACAAAATGGTGTGATCCAATTACCTGTAATGTTGTTGTTCTTAAACAATTCTAAGAGTAATATCTCTATATATTGAATTTTTAAATATTTAAGTGGCATTAACCTTTGACTGAAACAAAATAATATATGTAAAAGTCCCTGGCACATATTAGGTGCTAGGTGATTATTAATTGTTTCAATGTTGTTTGAGGTCAATGTCAGGAAAGATAACAGCTATGCTCCTTGGATCATGGCTCTTTGTTCTGCACTGAGAGCCTGAATATTGGGTAAGATGAACCCAGAATAGCATCATTGCTTTCCCTATGTGTGATTGTGTGAGGAATTATGGTCCCAAGCAGAGATTCTTAAATCTAGTCCTGCATCAGAATTATCTGGACAGCTAGTTTGAAAATATAGATCATTTCTCCTCTGTTTCCCCTTGTGATTATGATTCAGTATTTCTGGGGAGGTGCCAAGGCATCTTTTGAAAACCATTAACAATCTGTTCAGATGGCATTTTAAATACCAAGGGGCACTGTGGTACATCTTTAGTAATTTCTTTCCTTCTTTGATTGTTGTTGACTCTTACAGACACATGTGTGGGTAGACTAGAGAAAGTCAGACTTAATTGTTTTTTAGTTTTTGTCTGTACAAAGTTCTGTGTCTAATCAGCTTGGCTTCTGTCAATTCTCTAAATTCCAAAGCAAAACAAGTGTAAGTAAGGGATGATGAGCTTTGTGTTGGGCCGAGTCAAAGAAAATGGCTTCTCCCCCTCATTTCAGCAGAACACAGAGTCTCCAAGCCCAGAGCAATGATTAGATGTGTGAGGAAATTCCTCAATCTGGAAAGAACTATTTTCTTGTTTTTCTCTCCTCTTTCATCCCTGTTTTCAGGTCCCAGGGGGATATGGCTCTTATCAACTCTCAAACAGGAGTTTTACTGTAGCATGACACAAACTGCAAAGCAGAAAAACTATGTGTTAACGATTCCTGTAGGAAACCCTCTTTCTTTGGGGTCCTATCACTTTTATCCTACCTCTGTCACCACTTTTAGTATGTCATCTCCTGAATGTGGCCTCTCCAGCACTTTCTGACTCATAATTTTCTGTTGGTCACCTGACCAAACGATGCCCAGCCTGAAGTTGGCAAATGGCCATTGTGCTGAACATAATCATTCCAGTAAAACATGGCTTATTAGCATAGAAATCTCTATAAGCCTTTCTATTCTAATTTTGCTGTTATAATTCTGGCCCCTTCGGAGGTCATGCTAACCTAGTTAAGGCTCTTGGAGAAAATACTGTCATTCCAGCTCATTGCATTTGCATTAAAATATATTGTCCTTCAGCTGACATGCTAACCAGCAACCCATCATCTGCAACTTCGTGCAGAACCTGAACTGCAGGGCATAATTCGTTATTTAAGTTGGAGTCTGGGAAGCTCAGTGAAAATATATGATGGGCACCAAGACATTAAGGTCTGTAATATTCTGGCTGTGTGCACTTCACTCTGAATGCAGTGAAAAGATTTTGATGAAAAGCAGATTACTACAAAGTGAAGGATGCTAACTGCTAGGGTCCTTGACATGTCACATCCCATAGAGACAATATGGCATTGTGAGGACACAAATGTCAGGGTCAGACTGCTTAGTTGACATCCCTGTTCTACTATATAGGAATTTTGAAAACTAGTGATAATAAAATAGTCATATCTCACTGGGTTATGTGAGATTATCTCTATAGAGTAGTACATTACATGTGCTCATGTCATTAATTACAATTGTTACTAATGTTATATATGCTCAATTGATGTTGACTATTTCTATTAATAACAATAACAAACCTACAGTATGGTTAATCCTTCGTATAGCTCACTCATACGATTTTTGAGAAATTATTTGGGAAAAGATATTTGGGTACTGAAGATACATAAGTAATGAGAAAGGATGATTTCCACCCTCGTAAAGATCATATTCCTGATACAGAACATGGAAGTTAGTGAGTTACCCATTATTGTGGGTCCAAGAAGAGGGTGTGAGATCATTTTTCAAGGTTGCTATAGATTTGTTTTGATTGGATAGGAGATTGTAAACTGCTTAGAACAATACCTAACACTACGTACTAAGTATGCAAGTATTTTATTATTGCTGTTATTGTTATTATTAATATTGTTTGTATCCACAATTACTCGTATTATCTTGTTTAAATCTTTTGACAACCTTGTGAGAAAGGTACTGTTATTGTCTGACATTAATATTGAGGAAATCAAGGCTCAGGTAGGTTAAGTAACTTACCCAGTGTCACATAGCTTATACAACAGAGCCCAGATTTAAACCAACTGCATTGACTCCTTTGAAATTCTTGTTTGCTTGAGTTGATTTGTTATAGGTTGTGTCTCTCAAAGAAATCAGGAAAATTGGACCTGTTAAATGTTTGGTGATGGACAATGAGCTTTTTAAGGTCTTTGGCTGTAACGTGTCCTTGGAAGCAAGGAGCTCACTCCGTTTGGTTCCTAGAAAGTTCCTATGGTTGTGCTATCATCACTTCTTGACCTTGAGAAGTTGCCTACTGCACTCTCTGGCTTCAAGCAAGACTTTATCTAATTCTTCCTCAAGAAATCATCTGCTTTTAAAAATATTCTTACAGAAAAGGGGAATCTGTACTCTTTTTAAATGATCTTTAAATAAAATTAGACTCCAAAATAGCAAAATTGGAAGAAACAGTGAGGATTATTTAAGCCAATTCCTCCATTTTTTATGTGAGGCCTAGATGAGGGGAAGGGATGGAAACATCCGCAGTTTACATGGTTAATTACTATGCAGCTTGGTGGCTAAGCGTTTGGTGGGCTCTGGAGCTGGGTGGTCTGGGTCTGAGTCCCAGTTCTCTACTTGCTAGCTTAATCTCCTTGTGCCTCAGTTACCTCACTGTAAAATGGTGGTAATAACAGTGCTTTCCTCACAGGATTGTGGTGAAGATTAAGTAAGTTTCCATGTGTAAGGCACTTGGAATAGGGGCTGGCACATAGTAAACAATATATGAGTGTTTACTATTCTTGTTGTTGACAGCACTAGGATTTGAGTCCAGATTGCTTAACTTCCTTGTGTAGTGCTCTTTTCATTTCCTTAAATTCTCTTCCACCAAGATCTTTTTTGTAACCAGCTGAGGTTTTTCCAACTTTAGTTTGACCCATGACCACCAGTTCTCTTCTTAGTCTGGATACCTATGTGGTTCTTATGCATATCAGTTTCACACACTGTGGCCATGGGACTCTGAGGTCAGATAGAATTGCATTTGAGTTCCAACCTTACCACAGAGAGGTTACTTAGCCTCCCTGTGCCTCTGTTTCTTCATTTGTACACTGGGGATACCAAAGACCACCTGCCTTATTAAGGTTGCTGATAGGGTTAAATAAGCGGCTATCTATAAAAGCACTCAGCAGAATGCCAGACACTTGCTAGATATATAATACATGGCAGGCAGTACATTATTGTTATTACTGCTGTTACAACTCCTTATGGAATTTTCCAAGTCATAAGTGTACTTTCCTCTTGCAGATTATCTGAGTAGGCTGAACCATCGGTGAAAAGGAGGCCAAGCATCTCAAAAATAGGACACGTGAGAGTATGGAGCCAATGTGACACTCAGGTGAGTTAGCCTTATGATCCCTAAGCATGCAGTCCTTGGACCAGATGCATCAGGATCTTCTGGTAAGTGTGCTAAAATATAGGCTACTGAGACCCACCCTATGTCTGTCAAATCAGAATATTCTAAGGAAGCAGGTCCCAGGGAATATATATTTTAAAGCTCCCTAAATACACTTCATGGGCTGCCAGATTTGGGAATCGCAGGATTAGGTAGCTACCTAAATGAAGACACTTAAATGTGCCAAAAGCTTCTCTTTCACCCATCCATTTATCCATCTATTCACCCATCCATCAACCAAACATGTGCCAGTATCTGGTATTTGCTTCATGACCTGCTACTGCTGTGGTGGGTGCAAAGATAAATGATCAATGTTCTCAAAGAGTCAATAGTCTAAGAGAATGGATGAATGAAGTATAAATAATAAAAGATGTGCTATGAAGTACGATAGGGGTCCAGAAAAGTATATACTTATTCCAGATTGTGGCAGAAGACTCTGGAGAGGTTTCGTTTTATATAATGGCATGAATTCCCCTTCAGATCCATCTCTAAATCAAGCTTCACCTACTTCTGACTGTTTGTGTTAGATACCAATCCTATGGATTTCTATAGTTTTCTGGAATTACTTTTTACACACTACAGTAGAGTTATGTGGCTGCTTCCATGTTTTACTTAGAAGCTGAGAGCTTGATAAAAGTGAAGGCTGCATCTTAATCATCACCTTTTCCCCCACCTCCTAGCTAGGGTCTGGCTCTGCCTAAGCAGCTGCCATTGGTGCTCAATAAACATTGAAGAAGTTGGGTTGTTGCACTGGTTATGCAAAGAAAGGGACACAGTGGGTGTAAGCGTGGGGCGGGGAGCAAAGCTGGGACCAATCATGGAACACCTAGAATTTGAATCAAATTTGGGCTTTAGTTTTTAGGCAATGAGCCTAAGACAATTTTGGAAGCATCCTTTGTTCACAAAAAAGTTAGAAATGGTGAGAACTAGGGCAGTCTATCACAAAGTGTGGGAGAGGTAATTTTATATGTAAACTATTATAAATCACATTTGAGTTATGAAGTGAGACAATTATTCCCTTTGCAGTTTCATTTCATTCTGTCTAATTATTTCAGGGAGACATTCTGAATTGGGTGCTAGTATTTTAACACTTCTCTAACACTTTCTCTTTTTAAATTTTGTTTATTTTTAATTGACAAATAATAATTGTGTATATTTATGGGGTACATTGGGCATGGAGGGTGGGTTATTCTGTGATGTCTTGACCTGTGTGTACATTGTAACACTTCTCTAATACTTTCTAATCCAGCCATCCCCAACCTTTTTGGCACCAGGAACCAGTTTTGTGGAAGACGATTTTTCCACAGATGGTTGGGGGATGATTTTGGGATGGAACTATTCCACCTCAGATCATCAGGCATTAGATTCTCATAAGAAGCATGCAACGTAGATCCCTCACATATACAGTTCACAATAGGGTTCATGGTTCTATGAGAATCTAATGCTGCCACTGATCTAACAGGAGGCAGAGCTCAGCTGATAATGCTTTTTCACCTGCTACTGACTTCCTGCTGTGTTGCCCAGTTCCTAACAGGCCATAGACTGGTACCAGTCCATAGCCTGGGGCTTGAGGACCCCTGCTCTATGATGTCTATACAACAATAAAATTGCCTAATGATACATTTCTCAGAATGTATACCCATCATTAAGTGACACATGGCTGCTTGTGTATTTTTATATATAGCTAAATGTGGCTAGATTAGATGTGATATCTCTTTGGATGCAGGGATAGGTGGGCAAGTTTCTAAAACACGAAACTAACTGTGTCTTTTCTCTGCTTAAGAACCTTCCATGACTCCCTGTTGTTCATAACCGGATAAATTCTAAGCTGCCTAACTCAGAATTCTAGCTTAGAGATGTCTACGCCTGGCTGCTCCCAACAGTTAGTCTCATGTCCTGTCTCAAACATGGGGCTTCAGTAAGAATGAAATTTCCAAGGAGAATTTTATATTCTGCATGCCTTTAAAGGCTCAAGCCTGGAGACCCCCCTTCTTGCCTCTCTTACCCTTTTCACCAGGGCACCCTCTATTCATCCTTCCAGAGCCTTCTCTGGGAAGTCCTTTCCCAAAGCCCACTTCCCAGCCTAAGCTTAGTGCTATTTCTGTAGATACCCAGAAACACATCAACTATATGTACAGTTTACCCTAGTATGTCAAAGTTATAGTTACTGCCTTAGGAGGGATTTTGAGCTTTTCATCTTTATTACTCGGGCTTCTGCTACTGTGTCAAGCAGGTAGTTGACACTCAACAAATGTTTGTTTAGCCTAACTCAGCAGAACACATGGAGTGTGTTCACATGGAGTAACCTGATTTTGCTTAGTCTGCAACATTTCTTGCATGCATCCCCTGCTTGCAGTCTCAATTACAGTCATCCTGTTTCAGTTTTCTTAACTTGTCACTCCCTTCCTCTGATAACTTTTGCCATACCTCTGTATAACATGGCCTACTTTTTGAAAAAGATTTTTTTACATTCACCTACATTTGTCTCAAATTTTTTTTTAAAAGAAACTTTGTATTACTACCGTCATTGAAAACCTTCATCACTTGGCACAAAAGAAAGTTTAAAAAATACAACAAAAGACATTCTACTAAATTCTGGCTAGACAACCTTGCCTGCTCTAGTAGATGCACTGAGACCATTAATGAATCTTTCATCCCACCTTGTGTCATATTCTTTGCCACATGACTTTGGGTCTCCCTCACTACTAGGCAAGTTCCTGTCTCCATCTCTTGATTCTGAATTCAGCCATAATACTTGCTCTCCCCAATGTTGTTTTAGCAGATTTGACACATACAGAAGCGTGAAAAACTCTTGTGTGACTGGGATAGCTCCTCTGCAATGAGAACATGCCTGGGATAATGTACTGAAAAGATGTGAGAAATACATGAAGCAGAGTCCAGTCATCCCAGCCAAGAACCAGCTGTGAATGTAACCGCATGACTTTGAGGCAAGTCCAGACCAAGAACAAAGAACCACTGGTCTTAAAGACAGACCTGCAGATTCCTGAGCTAAATAAAAGTTTATTGTTGAAAGGCACTGAGTTGTTTTTGTTTCCTACAGATATTAATGTGGCAATAGATAGCTAATATACCTGCCAAGGCTCTGAGCCTGAGACATGTTTTCTCTTTGCTAAAAAGATAGATTAGAACAGGGGTCCCCAAACCCCAGGCCACAGACTGGTACAGGTCTGTGGCCTATTGGGAATTGAGCCACACAGCAGGAGTGGTGGGTGAGCCAGCATTATCACCTGAGCTCTGCCTCCTGTCAGATCGGCAGAGGCATTAGATACTCATAAGAGCATGAACCCTATTGCAAACTGCATATGCAAAGAATCTAGGTTGTGTGCTCTTTATGAGAATCTAATCCTGATGATCCAAGGTGGAACAGTTTCATCTGGAAACCATCCCCCTTCCCTGCTTGGGGAAAATTGTCTTCCACAAAACTGGTCCCTGGTGCCAAAAAGGTTGGGGACTGCTGTCATAGAGCATATTTACACAAACCTAGGTGGTATAGCCTGCTACACACCTAGGCTATATGGTATAGCCTATGACTCCTAGGCTACAATCCTGTACAACTTGTTACTATATTGAATGCTGTGGGGAATTGTAACACAATGGTATTTGTGTATCTAAACATATCTAAAAATAGAAAAGATATAGTAACATAGGTTATTATAATCTTATGGGACCATTGTTATATATGCTGGCCATTGTGGACCAAATATTTATAACCTGTGACTATATACATATATATAACATATATGTGTGTTTATATTTATATTTATAATACATTTATTTACATAAATTTTTCTCTACAAAAATTCCTGCCAGGTAGTTTTCCTCCTTCTGTTTGCAAACCTCCAGTGACAGGTGGCTTATTATTAGCAAATGAGCCTGTTACAGTCCTGATTGTAACTGGATGAAAAAGATAGACTTCAGCAACACAAAACTGGAAATGGGGATTGTTGCAGTAATCCAGGTGAGGGACATGGAAGAGCCAAAACGAGCAGGAAGAGTCCGGATGTAATGATAGAGAAGCGAACTCCTTTGGTTGATGCTAAGTGCCAAAAAAATGTGAATTGTGTAAAATGTGAATTGTAAAGTGGTTGTGCTCACTTTAGAGCCCAAACTTACTGCATGAACAACTCCCAAACCACACAAATATCTACTTTTCCTTTAAATGGACAAAGCAATGCTGACACCCAGTGGCTGGTTCAGATTACCCACAGCTCTCAGAGAGAGGATCCCAAGGGAGATGAAAGTCAACTTGCTCAGCCCCGACCATCAGAGCACAACCCAGGATCTTTAGCTGAAAGGGCGAGTCTAAATTCAGCCAGTAATAGCCAGCCATGTGATGTGTTTGACACCACATAAAGGATAGTTCCCGGTAAGTTTAATGCAGATAAAAGACCCAAATTTAACCTGCAGATGAGAAGAGTGTTGAATCAAAGTCAGCCCCTTGGGAAACAGAGACAAAAGCAATTACCCTGAGTTCCCTGGAAAACTCCCATCCAAAGCACCAATAAGAAATGAAATAGTTAAATAGTTGACTGGCTTTGGTTGGAAGCCAGTCAACTCCCATTCTGACACAGAGTCAGGATGTGATAAAACAACAAGGAACTTGACAAATTGAATGGACAAACTGGTCCAAGGGGGGAAATGAGTTTGCTAAGGCCTAAAAGCAAGCTAATGGCAGAGAGGAAACACTAGTGTGCTTCCTGCCTGACCAGACTTAACAGCTGGAGCTCTAGTAGCCATCTTGAACCATGTGACAAGGGCCACAATCTTAGGATGGTAGAGAGGAAAGTAGAAGAGTCTGTTCATGAACAAATTCATGGGGCTGTCATACCAACCTGCAGTGTAGATCAGATTTTTATGAACTCTCATCCATGCTCAAAATGTCAATTATCATCTGAATGTCATTGATGCTGATTGTCTATCTACTTGATGTCGCCATTTGAACATCACAGAGGAACGTTCAGAACAAAACTCAGGATCTTCTCCCCACAAATTTGGTTTTCCTTCAGTGTCCCTAAATGACACCACCATCCAGTGCACAAACCAGAAGTAGAGGAGACATCCTTGACTCCTTTCTTTTCCCTGACCCCCATAACTAAAAAATCACAAGGCTTGAAAACATGACTTTATATTAACCCACTTCTTAATATTCTTTTCATCATTGCTCCAATCCTCCCTGCTTTATCCATTGGACACATTTTGCTTGTTTGTTTATCACCTCTTTCCTCCGTAAAAGAATGCCAGCTTCCATGCCTGCCCCACTTTGCATTCTGCTGCTCTTTCTTCAGACACTCTATTTTATTACAGTCTATTATTTTCTTCATACCTTTTATCTGCATCTGAAATGATGTGTATTTGTCTATGAGACTAGGGGTCTCATCTGTCTTGTCCGTGGTTTTTGACTAATGTAGTGAGAAAAGAGCAGAGATTTTGTCTATTTGCCTCACTATTGTATAACTAGCACTCAGAACTGTGCCTAGTACAAAGTAGGTGCTTAATGAATGCTTCTTGGTGAGTAAATATGAATATAGATACACATGTAATGTACATATAGTGCTTGGGCAGTAGGAGGATCTGGCAAAGGAGGTCCTGGGTTAGCAATTACCTGGTTACAGACTGCAACTCAATTACCTGTGCCTTGTTATTTTTGTAGTCAATGGTGTGAAAGCCAATGTTGCGTATCTGCCAAGGACTCGAAAAGGCAGTCTGAGGTTTGATATCATCATCATCATCTGATGAAAAAAAGATCAAACCTAGCTCTGAAAGGGGAAGTAGGGTACCTGGTGGATGTTGTCTTAGGTCAACTTGGGCTGCCACTTTTATTTTCTGTTGCTTTCCCTAACAGCCAGCGTCTATAAGGAAGGTGGTTGTCTACTTGTTCGTGCCATAGTTTAGCTGGTTTTTGACTGAATCCATGAAAGAAAAGGAAGGAAGGAGGGAGGGAGGGAAGGAAAGGGATAGAAAAGGAAGGGAAGAAAGGAAGAAAGAAGAGACAGAGAGACAGAGAACGAACCTGTTCTATGTAAAGTATTACAAGGGAAATAAAGAGAAGGTCTTTATACTTCCTGTTTTGTTCATTCCCTGACCCCACATTTGAATTCTTTATGTAACAGCCAGAATAATCCTTCCCTCTCCCTCTCTCCTCCTCTTATTCCGTCTCTCTCTCTTTTCCTCCTTTCTTTTCTCATTGGCTTAATAAAATAAAGTGAATTTTTACTCCATAACAACTCAACATTAGTGTTCCTGGTTAGCATGGGGCCACTCATATGATTATCTAGGAGCCCCAACAGGGTACCTTTGTCTTGATACTCTGAGCTCTTTTAGGGCCTCAGAGATTTCTACAAACCAGGAAAGAATAGGAAGGATCCTGCATGGAGTGTTTTTATAAGTCAAGTGCATGATCTCTGTAAGATATAAGTTGTATAGTGTCCTACCCTGCGTAAAACTTTCAGTGGCTTCCAGCCACCTTAGAATAAAACTCAAATTCTTCACTGTGGCCTACAGGGTGCTACATGATTGTTCTCACTTGCCTTTTTAAAATTTTATTTTTAACTAACAAATGTTAATTATACATATTTATGGGGTACAATGTGATGTGATGTTTCAATACATGAACACATTGTGAAATGATCAAATTAGGTGGATCCATCATCTCAAATACTTACAGTTTCTTTGTGGTGAGATTTAAAATCCAGTCTTTTGAATTATTAACTGTAATTACCATGCTATGTAATAGACCACCAGAACCTTTTCCTCCTAACTGAAACTTCAACCAACATCTCTCCTTTCCCTGTCCACAACCCCCTGCCCCACCTCCAGCCTCTGGTAACCACCATTCTACTCTCTACTTTTTTTTTTTTTTGTCCATGTGTTCTCATTGTTCGTCTCCCACTTATGAGTAATAACATGCAGTGTTTGGTTTTTTGTTCCTGTGTTAGTCTGCTGTCTACTCTCTAATTCTGAGTTCAACTTTTTTTAGATCCAACATACAAACGAGATGAGATCATGTGGTATTTGTCTCTCTGTGCTTAGCTCATTTCACTTGGCATGATGTCCTCTAAGTTCATTCATATTATCTTAAATGAAAGGATTTCCTGCTTTTTAAGGAGTAATAGTATGGCATTGTGTGCATATACTGCATTTAAAAAATCCATTCATCTATTGATAGGCACTTAGGTTGATTCCCTATCTTGGCTATTGTGAATAATGCTGCAGTGAACATAGGAGTGCAGATAACTCTTCAACATACTGATGGCATTTTCTTTGGATATATTCCCAAAAGTGGGATTGCTGGATCATATGGTAATTCTATTTTTAAATTTTTGAAGAGCCTTCATACTGTTTTCCAAAATGGCTGTACTAATTTGCAATACTACCAACAGTGTACAAGGGTTCCCTTTTCTCCACATCCTCATCAACACTTATCTTTCATCTTTTTGATCATGGCTAATTTAACAGGCACGAGGTAATATCTCATTTTAGTTTTAATATGCATTTCTCTGATGATTAGAGATGTCGAACATTTTTTAATATATCTGTTGGCCATTCTTATGTCTCCTTTTGAGAAATGTTTATTCAGCTTCTTTGCCCTTAAAATAGAGTTATTTGTTTTCATGTTATTGAGTAGTTTGAGTTAATTGTATATTTTGGATATTAACTCCTTATCCAAAATTAACCTACACAACTGTGGCCAATTAATTTTCAACAAAGGTGCCAAGAACACACAACAGGGAAATAACATTCTCTTCATTCCCTTTAGTTGGTAAAACTAAATATCCACATGCAGAATGAAAATTGATCCTCATCTCACCATGTATATAAGAATCAGCTTAAAACGGGTGAAAGACTTAAACTTAAGATCTGAAACTGTAAAACTACTGAAAGAAAACATAAGGGAAAAGCTCCACGACACTGGTTTGAGCAGAGATTTCTTATATATGACCCCAAAAGCACAGGCAACAAGAACAAAAATAGACAAATGGGATTGCCTCAAACTAAAAAGCTTCTGCACAGCAAAGGAAACAATCAACAGCATGAAGAGACAGCCCACAGATTGGGAGAAAATGTTTGTAAATCATACATGGGATAAGGGCCTTGCCTACCTCTTTGATATTATTTCCCATCTTTTTTTCCATCTTCCTTCATTCAGCTCCAAGCCACACAGGCAGGCCTTTTTCTTTTTTTTTTTTTTTTTTTTCCTGTTCTTAACATCCTAAGCTTTTATCTGCCTTGGGGCCTCTGTGTTTGCTATCTCCTCTGCCTGGATGCCCCCAACTCAGCAATGTTGGCTGCTTCTCTTAATTTGGCTAACTCAGCCCAGAGAAACTCTTCTTGCCTTCCCTATTTAGTTTCCTTGCCCCTTCCTCAAAGACATTGTTATATTACATTCCATTATTTTCTTCATAGCTGTAATGACATCTGAAATTATAGGTATTTATTTATTCATGAGAGTAGACACCTATTTTTATTGTATATGATTGTCCATCCTTGTCGACCAGAAGGGGGTCTGGCACTTGGTAGGTGCTTAGTACATGTCTACTGAGTACTTACTGTATGGCAAATATTCCTCTAAATACAGCACAGGCACTAACTCATCCGATTCTCACAACTCTGTAAGAGGACTACTATTATGATCCCCATTTCATAGAAGAAACTGAAGCCCAGAGAGGCGAGGTAACTTATGTAGGGTTATACAGATAAGTTGAGAAGCAGAAATTCTAATTCCAGGGTCTACAACCTTAACCACTGTACTATACTACTTCCAATCAGAATCCCAGTTTTGGAAAAGAATTGAGTATCATTTGATCATCTCACCACCACCAGATGCATAGATATGCTCTGTGACATTCCTTTTGAGGTTTCTTAACTTCTTGAATACTCTGGTGGCAGAGTACCCACTTTCTCCTGGGTGGATCCACTCCGTTATGGTATGTTAGTTTTCCCCTCATGTTGGGATATACTCTGCCTCCTTATAGCTTCTCCCCCAGAGTTCTATTGCACCTGTTCAGACCTCAAAAGGATCCAGCCCTCTGTGCCCCAAGGAAGCCCATCAGCGATGACAGGGTTATTCTCCTGACCTTTCTCTCCTACAAGGTGAATAATGCCAGATTCTTCAGGGTGTGGTTTATCTTTCTTTCTGTGCAAGGATATTCAAAGCCTCTGCTCAAGAAATATACGGGTGAATTCATTTTTTTTTTTTTTTTTTTGCTCCTGGACCCCCATTTGGGAGCTGTGGGCCAGACATGAATTAGTGGGGTTTCTAAGCCCATCTCATCTGATTCGCTGAATCTCATCTCCCAGCCAGGGTGGTAACAAAAACCCATATGGCACAAAAGCAATTCCTTCTTGGGACTGTGGGGGCTGTTATCTGGTGCTCCTTGGATGATGCTATTAGCATTACTTACAGCTCCCATTCTGCCTTCACAGCCTGAAACCACGGGCATGGGAGAGGCTGATAAAGAAACTGGCTTATATATGCCTTTCCTTTCATTGCTGATATGCTTGTCCCTTGTGGGTTTCTTGCAGAATAACAGAATTGTAAAGTGAGGAGAAAAGTTATATCATTGGATTAGGGAATATAGAGTTCCATTGCGAAGAACTGTCTGGGGGTTGCTGATTCAGGGTGTGAGGCAGGCTGCATTTACAGACAAAATAAAATATTTGTGCCTCCCCACCCCTCAAAAAAAGGCAACTTGGTATAGAGGAGACTGGTTGACCTGTGCATAAATACCAGCTCTATTTATTTGAAATACTTTATCTCTCTGATCTTTAAAATAAGGAACTGTACCTATCTGAAACAACTGTTATGAGGCTTAATTACACTTCGGTGTTTGGTGTGCCCTAAGTCCTCAATACACATTGGTTTAGATTCGTTGGACTTTATTGAGGTTTCTTTTACTTGCCACAGTTCATGTTCATGGGATTTAAATCTCTATCCCAGGCATCTGGCTCAACTTGCTTATTAAATGAGGTGGTACCATACAGAGGCAGAGGAATTTCCAGTAACGACAGTTAAATATGCCTGGTGATTACAGTTTTGTGGAATGTTTTCTCATGTGTGATTTCATTTCACCCCTATGACAACCCTATTAGGTAAGGGTAATTATTTCACATTTCACACATGAGAAATCTAGGACACAGTAAGGTTATTTAACCTGTCCAATATCACAGGGTTAGTGAGGATTTGGTCACTATCGTAGCCTAGAAGACCTGGATCAGGGCCTTGCCTTGAACTCAGGTCATCTGATTTTAAACTCCATTCTGGCTTTCCTTTGAATCTTTTGCTGGACTTGTAGAACTTAGCCTTCTGTTACTCATCTCTGTATTTTCCAGGTTAGTGCCTCATACCCAAAGGCACCAAATAGTCATTTGTAGAATTGAAACAAGTTTTAGCAGCTATGGGTCATACATGAATTTTGTAGGAATGAGCTTACTTAATAGTCCCAGTGTACTAAATAAGACAACCTATAAATGAGCTCCCCAACACCCATCCTAGATCTTACAAAAGGTTATTCCTGCCTCCATTCTTAGCTTATTTCTGTCTTGGACTGGAGCATTTGAAACTCCTACCATGAGAACAACTGTGAAAAAAAATGGCTAGTCTGCAGAATCTGTGTTTATGTAAATAAAGGAAGAGAAATGTGAGCATCAGACATTGCTTAGAAAAGTAGCAGTTGGTAGTCGGGAGGGTGTAGGTTTGGAGATCGGTTTCTGATCCAAGCCATATGGATCTTGATAAACATAGATCTCTATGTATCCATTCCTGACTCTAAGGCAACCAACCCATTCCATATGTGGTGTGGCCAGCACTAGTGACAACAGACTTCCAGCCAAACCCTTAGCTTATTATCTCTCTTGACTCATCTCTTTTTGACCTTTCTAGCACCTGGCACCCTTATCTATTCCTAGCTCTCCAGCTCCTGAACCCTTTCCTCCTCTTCCATTCATGGCCTCTTCCTTGGGTCTGACCCTAGACAGTACTGCTCTGGTTCTGACTTCTGCCTTCCTTTGCATATTAGGGTGAATTGGTTTTTTTTTTTTTTTTTTTTTTTTCTGGCTACCGTGAGAAACACACAACTTCATGAGAGTAATTTCCTCCATTTAGCCCTGTTTCTTCAAAAACGAATTGACCTTGTAGAGACTTTGTTTCTAATGTGCAGTAACTAAATTCCTTCATGCCTCCATTTATTCATACCTTCATTCAATCAACTTATACATGTCGATTATCACTTACTTGCTGCGCACACCAGTGCTGGTGTACCATGTGACTAGGTTCCAGTCCTTGCTCCATGGAGCCTGTCACACAGAAGGGGATATAGTGTAGCATGATAGTTAAGAGCATGTGAATGGATATGGGTTCTAAAAATGGCTCTGTTGCTCACTAGATGCATAACCTGTGTGCCTTTGGTCAAGATACTTAATCTCTCAGAGCTTATTTCTCCATATGTAAAATGAGAATATTGCCTAGTAGAATCATTGTACTATTAAGTAAAATTATCCATGTTAGATATTTAGTACAGTGCCTGACGCACACTACACACTCAGTAGACATTGACTATTGTTTTATTAGTGAGGGACAGATAAATAAGATAATTAGAATGTAATGTTATCAATGATATAATAGGGAACATCTTAGGTTAATAATAGGTCCTTATCCAGGTTTCAGAAGGTTTCTTGGAGGAAGTGATATCCTAGCTAATACCTTATGGGTGAGCATGAGTTAGCCATGTTAAAGAAACATGGAACATTTCCGGGGAAGGGAACAACATGTGCAAAGGCCTGGACAAGAGAAACATCATGGCAACACACATGTAGTTCAGTAAGGCTAGATAAATATTTGAGAGTAAGTGGTAAGAGATAAGGCCTGTGTCCTGCTTACTTCCTTTTATTCTGCCTCTTTTGCTTCCCAGGCCATGACCCCATCTCATTACCCTACTTTTCCTCTTTGCACAGCTGTGATTTGCTAGGGGTAAAGGATGCTGAGTGGAAGTTGCTTCCTCTTGATGACTTACTTACATAATTGCTGATGCATGTGCCCCATGGAGAACTTGGAGCCATATTCTATTTAGGGACATTTTAGCCTTACACAGCAGATCCAGCTACTATGATTTGCCTCATTACCTATTAAGAGGACATTTGCATGGACTTAAATGGTTTCCTCACCTTGTTCTTGAGACAGATTTTTCCATGACTGACCATTTGTCCAATAGCAGGCAAGTTGCAGAAGTGAGCAGGAGTTCACTGAGACTTGCTTTTAATTGGTTTCTGGTAGAAACACAGAATGTCAGGCTGGGAGACACTTTATGGGTCATTTCTACTCTACTACGTCATGGAAAACTATGAAAATTTCAATCCTAGACCCCAGAAATTATAAGGTATAGAAAAACGCTGAGGCTAGTGAAAGGAGAGTGATGGCAAATGATGTTAACAGGGAAAAAGTGGTTGCAAAGCTATTAAAATCTGCCTCTCTGATCAGCTGCCTATGGGAAATATGTCTGCCTCTGCCCCAGCTTCATGCACCCCTAGCAGACATTACTAGGAGATGGCAGCACTATTCTTTTGAGCCCAGATAGGGCCTCAGAATTCTTCCAAACATAGTGCTGCAGAGGTTCATGGCTGAGTATGTGGAGCTGGCACTTGTAATGAAACACACTAACTACCCTGAGAACCTCTCTTTTTATATGCAGGGAATGTCAGACCCATCAAAGAGAAGTACTTTATCCAATGTAAACATGCACATTAATGGCAGACCTTAAGTTAGAGTATTTTGCTCCTGACCCAAATCCCTGAAAGAATTTCCTCTGTTTGAAAAGTATCATGAAGGCCAGTTAGATTATTCTTTCCAAAAAGTATGCTGTCATGCCACTCTCCTGCTGAGCATCCCTCAATAGCTTACCATTTCCAATAAAATAAAGTCTAAACATATCAGCAAATCATTCTACATTTTTTCACATCTTGAGCCCAGCTCTAGTCAAAAGGGATCCCCACCCCTTTGTTTATGCCTTCTCATTCAACTCACATCCATGGGTCCTCCAAAGCTTGGGTCAAGTCTTTCAGCTTCTCTGAAACTGGCCAATTTCAATCCAATTTGTCTTCTTCCCCTAAACAATTCTAATGATTACGGTTCAACCCACAACACTTATTGGCATTTTTGAGGTTTTAATGGTGGAAAATGACATATGGCCAATATTACTCTAGACTCCAGTTACCCTGGCCCACTATAAAAGAGCAAGCCACACCTAACAGGTGACATTTTAGTGTGATAGACCCTTCTTACCTGAAAACACAGCCCAACTAGGATCCCAGAATCTTGGGACCAATCTGATTAAAATTCCATTAGCTTGAGGTGTAGGGAGAAGGGGGCAGTGAGTGAGGAAGGGGGCTTAGAGAAATCTCCTTTTCCCTGAAGGCCTTCAGTTAACACACATTATCCCTGCCCCCCGCCTTCTAATTGCTACCTATGTTTTTTTCCAATCTATTTGTAGGGCAGTATCTCATTAATTAATTAAATTAATTTGAATTAATTCAATTTAACAAACACCTCCTGTTTATCAAGCACTATGTTTGGAGTTGGAAATACAAAAATAAACAAGACAAATATTCTTGTTTCATGGAGCTTGTACTCAGGTTGGGGAGACAGATAAGATACAAGTAACAAATAATGCTTTTCTCATCTAGCATACTGTAGGGGGACACAGTATACAGTCAATTAACATTTGTTACCTTCCCTTATTCAATACCTATTTGGATTAGTATCTACAGGGTATACTTGATGGAGGTGTGTACGCATTTATTCAAGTATATTTACTGAATGTTGAAGTATCCAGCAAGTATCTTTTAAATTAGATTCATAGAGGCAGTTAACAAAGATGGACCAGGTGAAGGAAGTAGAACTGTTTTGGAGAATAGTTTGAAACTTTGGTTGACAGGCAATGGTGCTGATATGGTTTGGTTTTGTCTCCACCCAAATCTCATCTTGAATTGTAGCTCCCATAAATCCCACGTCATGGGAGGGACCTGGTGGGAGGTCATTGAATCATGGGGGTGGGTTTTTCCCATGCTATTCTTGTGATAGTGAATAAGTCTCATGAGATTGGATGGTTTTATAAAGGGGAGTTCCCCTGCACACACTCTCTTGCCTGCTGCCATGTAAGACATGCCTTTGCTCCTCCTCACTTTCTGCCATGATTGTGAGGCTTCCCAAGCTGTGTGGAACTGTGAGTCCATTAAATCTCTTTTTCTTTATACATTACCCAGTCTTGGGTATTTCTTCATGGCAGTATGAGAACAAACTTATACAGGTGGTAATTGTTGGTTGTAAACATTTGAAGTGCTACTATATGTAAACATGAATATTTTTTGTTTTCTGGGCATCCAAGAAGATGAAACTGGAATTAGCAAAAATGCCAAGAGGGAGCCGTTAGTTTGATTTAAGTCATTCCTAAATGAGACACATGGTCTTGTATGGATGGGGGCTCCCTGACACTGGAAAAATTTAAGCAGAAGTTGCTGAGTTTGTTGTGGGCATTCAAACATTAAAAAGATGTTTTTCCCAGATTATCACCAATAACTATGTTAACTTTGTATTTGATAATGATTTGTTATGAGGATCATTATTTTGTTTTATGGTTTAGAAAGCATTTTTATGTAAATTATCCGATTTGATTTTCACAAAGACAAGTTTTGTACTATTCCATTTTACAGTTGGGCAAACAGACTTCAAGAGTCCAGTCATCGCTGTTCACAATGGAACCATGATATATGGCTTATGGCTCCACAAACAGCACTTTTTATTGTTTAAAAATGCTTAGACATGCTTGTTGATTCATCTTATAAATACAGAAATGACAGAATGCTGGCTGACAAATTCTTTGTGTCCTATATATCCTTGACTTTTCTCTTTTTTGAGAGGGTCACTGTTGCACACCTCTGATTTTCTGTTCCAACAACTGTATGCTTGCTATTGTAATGCCTGTACATTTCTTGCTGCTTTTTTACTTTTTTCCACATTAAAAAATATATATGTATATGCATTTCCTCTCCAGAAGTTACTAGGCATATTTACTAGTTGATCTAAGAGGTAGTACTTGAGGGGCCAAACATATGGAATTATTTACTTCATGCCTAGAGAATTTCAACTTTGTTTCCTCCCATGATGTTACTCCAGTGTTTTCTTTATTCATTCTTCAAGGGTCAGCCTAAATCTTACCACCTCTTAGAAGCCTTCTGCGTCCTTCTTAGGCTACAAAGTTTTAGACAGTTTTAGTATTTATTGTGTACCCTATTTAGCTTGACTTGTGTACATTCTATTCTCACATACATTTGTCAGTTACATATTCTTGCTGGAGAATAAAATCTTCAGTGGTGTGTTTTTCTCTCTTTTATATACTCCAAATTTCTTGCCACAATGTTGAGCACCTAGGAATGTTGAATAACTACTTGAAGATTTTTAGTTCACCCCCATGGGTTTTAATTCTTCTCATAGATAACATGTTAAAATGTATTTTCTGTTTGCCCTAAAGAAACAGAAACAGTATGTACCTTTGGCTCTAGGTCCTCATTATCTTAGGTTTGAATCTTGGCTCTGCTACTTTCTAGAAATGTGACCTTGAGATGGTTTCTTCACTCCTCTAAGCCTTAGCTGTAATGGGGATCATGATCGTATCTACATTTAAGGGACATCATGAAAGTCAAATGAAGGAAAGAAAAAAATTTTTTAGCACAGTGCCTGGCACATAGTTAATGCAAAATGAACGTTAGTAGTTATTGTGGGTGCTGTTGTTATTCTTACCACAGGATCTGTCAGATAAAATGACCTGGATTTGTTTAAATGATTTGGTGCTCTGACTCTAGGGATGTACACTAGTAAATCCAGAGACCTATTTTAGGTATGTATGTATACATTTGTATGCTTGTACTTATTTATTTATTCCTTGCCTTGTCCTAAAAAGAATTTAAGGCAGCTTATTAACATGCACAGCATATACCAAAGTAAAATAAATTTTAAAATAAAAAATGGCACAATAGGAAAATCAAAGAAGAGAAAAGCAAAACTTAGAAATAAAGATAGTATATAAAATACATGCCATGAAATATTTTGCCCCTAATGGAGGTAGGCTACAAATCTAGCTTTAAATTTCTGAGAAGCAAAGAGTAACACAGGATTTATTACCCAATTTACAGTGCACAGGAGGTAAAAACAATCAAGCTGCTTATGGAAAGTGTTAAGATTCTTTGTAGTGGGATTAGAGAGGATTTTCCTATGGCTCAGAGAGGAAGCTATGCAATGCAAAGAGCAAAATTCTTGTGGTGGTTTTCAAATATATCCACTTTTTTTTTTTGAGACACCTCTCTTTAAAAATGGAAATGTAGGTGTGCTAATTCTCCTCTGCTTAATTGTTGGACATCTGATGTTAGGACATAAAAGGGATTGTGGCATTCTTATTATTATCTCTCTGGTATCACTCACTCTGAAGGAAGCCATTTGCCATGTTGTAAGGATGCTCAAGCAGCTCTATGGAGAGGACCTTGTGTTGAGAGATTGAGGGCTCTAGTCAACAACCATGTGAGAGAATCATCTTCAAATAGATCCCTCAGCCCCAGTTAGGTCTGCAAATGACTGCAACTTTCTTTGGTATCTTGACTATGAGAGACTCTGAGCCAGAGCCACCCAGCAGAGCTACTTCTGGATTCCCCACCCTCAGAAACTGGGGAGATAACACATGTTACCATTGTTTTAAGCTGCTAAGTTTGGGGATAACTTGATATGTAGAAATAGATAACTATTACAATTCTCAACACTGCCCCACAGTGATCACAGTGAGGGATTTGATGAGGACACTCTTCAAAGTGACCCTCAGTTTATGATGAGTGCAACTTATGTGCAAAATGGTCAGGCTTAAGCAGACCTAAAAAAGTCTGAGAGCTTACAATTTCATGATGAGAGAAAGACACACAGCCCATTAACCATAATATCAGGAGGAAGGGGTAAATCTAAATTAAGGCACAAGTAAACAAGCTATGGGAGCTTAGGAGGGAGCATTTAATGTTACTGAAGGTTTTATGAAAGAGGTGGTATTTGGGTTGGGTCTTGTAGGATGGCATATTAGAATTCCTTTAAGGAATTCTTCACTTAAGTTCCTCAAGAAACAGACTCTGAGATGAAGATTTGCATGTAAAGAGTATATGGGGGACTATTTTTGGGAACACCACCTGTGAGGCAGTAAGGAAGCAGGATTAGACAGAAGTGGGTGTTAGCCTGCAGTTTAGTTGCAACAGAGGCCTCAGGCTATTCCGTGGTGAATTCTAGAGTTGAGATGTTCCTTCAGAATTGTATGGAATTGAGACAAGGGGTTGGCTTTTATCTTCCTGAATTGATTAGTTAATCAGATGTGAGCTGCTTCTTGAGAGGGAACATAACCCTGGGTGAGACAGTTTCATTTGGTTAACCACATTGCTAGACCATCAGCAGATAGCATTCCTGGCCACTAAAGGTGTTAGTGCTTCAGTCCTAAAGAAGGGTCAGCGTGGCACACTACAGCACACATTCTACTAGCTTAAGCTGACTTTGCAATCATCACAGTTGGCATCAGCATCATTATCATCATCACCATCACCATCACCATCATTATTTATGGTGATGGCTCACAGATCTGAAAACACAGTAGATTGGGCTACTTTTAAAGGATGGCTGAATTCTGAAGCTCAAACAATGTCATCAGTAATATTCCTATGTCTTGGGACTCTATGTGCCTTCCTATTGGCTTTACTCATATTCTCAGGTTGGCACAAATGTAGGCTTACCTTCTGCCAAACTAGCATCTCAGTGGAAATAGATCCCTTTCCCAGAATTGCTAGCAACAGTCCTGGGCTGATGGTAGTAGGCCTGCTGGGGTCACCTGCATATCTTTGAACAAATCACTATGGGTAGGTGAATATAGGCTCTGACTGGCCAAGTGTGGATTATTTACCTATTCTGTAACTATTTCCACACAAACCACATGGACTGAGTTGCATGAGAAGGGTAGATTGTCAAAGAAAACTTAGAGTTACTAATTTCATTACCCAAAGAGGGAGCAGGCAGATAGAAGTCCTCCACAGGTAGATGGGATGTCAATGGGAAGTAAAGGGAGAGAAGGTCCTTCTAAGCCAAGGGACTAGCTTGAGGAATGACATGGAAATGTTAAAGCATATGGCTTGTCAAGTGACTGGCAAATAGCATATACTTATGCATAAGCACATTTAATAAGTAAAAATCTCTGTCTCCCCCAATACAGATATAGAACCATATTCCTTTAGTCGAGGGAAGAAGAATGCATTGTGAGTGATAAATTATGCAGATAATATTTCATATGCACACAGAGTCCAACCACAAGAGACATCGTGCCCCCCTGGGAAACCTGCCTGAAAGACAATGGGCCAGGAGAAGGAAGGGGGCAGGAAGAGAGGAGTAGAATAAGGTCTGGCAGGTTTTGCTTGCAGCTGGGACAAGGCTGAATGAGGCAACGATTTTCCCTGAGGCTGTTCCTCATGACCAAAGTGGTGTGGATTGGCTGTGGCAGCCTGGGCAGTCAGCTCTGAGACAAATCATGACAGAGTGTGGACCTGATAGGAATTTATGTTGGTCTCTGAAGGGTGGCAGCTTTGTGATGATCAAGGCAGCTGGGAGAGAGTTGTTTAGCATATTCAAAAGGTCACGGTGCCCAGGAGAGAGCACAGGACAAGGAATCAGGAGACCATTGCTGGGCCACTCACATTTTGTAGGGTTGTGGACCAGTCAGTCACCTCATCTGTAAAAAGACAGTGATGAACCCTCAGGAAGGCCCCTTCTAACTTGGTGTCTCTGGATATAAGGAGACACTGAATGGTATAATTTGATGGAGGAAAGGTGACTAGATACGGCAGTGGCATCCCTTTCAGGGACAGTAAATGGAGGCCCCAAGGGGAGGGCATGGACATACAACAGGAATGTTTGAGTTCAATTAAGTTACTGGTCTGGTCTGTCAAGTAGTTTCTGATCTTGCTGAGAGAGGTCAGAAAGCCTTAACCACAGCATTGACTCTATAGGAATAGAGCTAGAGGGAGAGATAGTTTGGTTGTGTTGCATCATTTGAAAAATAAGAAAAAAAATAAAGCCCCAGTTGGGTTATATTTTTTGTGGTTATATAAAAAATATATTAGCAAAGCCAGGGTTTGCACTCAATCTTATGACACTGCCTTGCTTGATTTGAACATAATTTTCTCCACTAGGGGATCACACAGTACCTACCAATCAAGTTAATTCATACTTCCTGAACTACAAGAAGTTATAGAAGAAAAATTAAAGGAAAAAGAGTTATGTAGGCATATGTGAGGGATGTACAGAGAGTTCTGGGACAAGTGGAAGGTAGAGTATGCCTGCATCAGGGAGATGTATTTAATCCACTCAAGTAACAAGACACAGTGTGTTCCAAAGAAAGAACACCAGACACCAGCTTCCCAAAGCATTTTTCATGAAACATAAATCCTAAAAAAAATCCCTGGGCATTTGTAAAATAGGTTTACTTTATCTCACTCTGGGAAACTTACAAAGAACATTAAAGGCTCTGAGCTTATTAAATGCTCTGATAAGTCCTGTAGTAAATAAACCTGCTTAACTCTGTTTAATCAAGTATCTCTTCAACATATTTGACTACTGAAATTCTTCCTAATTTTAATTTTTGTACCTAATACCTGTTAGCATCCTGTAGAAAATACTTTGAAAAGTGCTACAATAGATAAATTACATGAATTTGGGAATTTCTGTCTTACAGCTTCTCTCTATAAAATTACATGATTAGATTAAGTGTTTGCCTTAATTCCCTCAAGATCCTTTGATTCTAATTATTGCACATTAGTGGCAGAATTAAAATTAGAACCAAGGAGACAGCTATGGTTTGAATGTGTCCCCTAAAATGCATGTATAGAAAACTTAATCTTCAAAGTAACAGTGTTGGGAGGTGGGGCCTAATGGGAGGTGTTTAGGTCACAAGGGCTCTGCCCTTAAGAATTGATTAATTCCCATTATAAAAGGGCTTGAGGCTGGAAGTTCAGCCTCTTCTTGCTCTCTCTCACCCTCTCTTTGCCCTTCTGTCAGAGCATGACACAGCAAGAAGGCCGTTGCCAGATGTGGTTCCTTGATCTTGGACTTTTTCAGCTTCCCGAACTCTGTGCCAATCAATTTCTGCTCATTTTAAATTACTGAGAGTGTGGTATTCTGTTAGAGCAGCACAAAAGTGGACCAAGGCCAGGCAGGGTGAGCTTCTCCAAGCTACCGTTGTCTCTTGCCTGGACAACTGCAATAGCCTTGTTGTTGGTCTTCCACTTTCAGTCTCATCCTTCCCCAAACCACCCACCAGACTTCAGCCAGAGAGAACTTCTAAAATGCAAATAAGGCCATCTCACATTGCTTCCACCCAACCTTCAATGTTCCCTCCAGGTTCCCATGCAGAGACCCTGAGACTTCACGTTATACCAGGAAGCCCTAGTTAAATATATCACTAGCCATCAATGCACAATGAAATAACACATTTTTAGGCCAAAATATAATTATTGTATAGTAGAAATGGATGACATCAGAAATAAAAGTTTCCTTAAACAAGGTGGATACCCAAAGTGCAGTTCGCAGACCTTCTGAATCAGAATCTGCATTTTAACAAGACTATTTGTGTGAACAATGGTTTGAGAGGCACTATCTTAGTGACAATTTTTACTGTACGAATCACCAATGAGGCTAAAGGGTTAGGGATTAAATGCATAGGCTTTAGAGTTAGGCCTGGCTTTGAGTTTAAGGTGTGTTGTGATCTTGGGCAAGTTCCTTAACATCTCTGAATCTGTTTCGTCATCTGTAAAATAGGCGATAAAAATACTAGTACCTAGCTCACAATTATATTGTGAAGATTAAATGATGAACTATTAGAAGCAGCTCCTATCACTGTTTTGGCATAGAACCCTTAATAAAAGTTCGATGAATATATGGGGAAACTGAAGACCACAGAGCAGTGTTACTTGTGGTAGGGTCCAGCATGAGCATCACAGCCCAGGGGCAGAAACCTAGTAGGGTTGAGGCAAGGGTAGGAAATAGGGATAAGATTGATGACCTTGTTCACCAAGCAGTTACTGAGCACTCATGATGGGCCAGGCCATCTGGAGTGGCTGGGGCTACAGTGCTGACCAAGGCACAGTTCTTGCCCTCACGAAGCACACAGCCGGGCATGTCAGCCGGGCATCATCACTGAGGAGCATAAGTGCAGCTGAAAATAGACTTGGCCGTGCTTCCTCCTTGCTTGGCACGGATCTCACTGCAGTAGAGCTTCGATTCCAGCTAATCCTTCTCCTTGGCTCTTAGTTCTCCCAAGAATTTCTCCTTAGGGAATGAAAAAATAGCCCCATTTTCTGCTCCTCCTTAAGGTATTATTTTGTCCATTTGAAAGGAGGAAAAAAAAACACCCATCAGCTGTTTTGAATGGAAAATATCTTTTTTTCCCTCTCCTATGTAAACTGTATTTTTTTTAGGACTTTGTGGGTCACTGAAACCTCAGGATTTGTTTATTTATCTCAGACTCTTGGGTGACCTCTTCAATTGCCGAGCAATCTTTCCTGTTTACACAGAGCTTGGCAGCCTCCAGGATGAGTTTTCTAATAGAGATATCTCTCTCCTAGCCTGGCTGAGCTGGAGACCCTCCATAGGTAAGGCTTGAAGGGAAGCGGGGAGTGAGGCAAATGTAGGAATGATCTCATTGCTGAGTTTCCCTTGCCCTCTGCTGCCCTCCAAATTACCAAGTTCCATGGGTGTACAGAAGACAGTGTTGGTGCAATACAGCATAGCCTAGCCAGCATAAGGAAGGCTCAAGGAAACTGCTGGCTGGCTTTTACAATTTTGATTAAGTAGTAGCATTTGTATAGGAAAGCTTTGTTGGAATTTTCCAGGAAACATTTTTGGGAGAATAGGGACTTGTCAGTTGAAAATGCTCTCTCAGATGCCATCTGACTGTGTTGGTGGCAAGAAACATCTTTCTGAGAGAGCCAGAGGGAATAAAACTGGTTGTCTGAGAGAAAGGCCACCCCCAGGCCAGGGAAATATAATTCAGTTTTAAGTGAAGCCATCTCGTAAATTATCTATCTGAGGACTTGTGATCAATTAACATTAGCAACATGTTCTTATTCTGACAAAAGGTAACAAACACAGGGAGGACTGGACTCAGAGGATGACCTGAGACACTGAGGCCTTTTGGAATGGGAAGTCAGGGTTGTTGACTTTACCCAGATAGGTAACACAGAATGTGTGCATGTCCTGTGTAGTGTCTGCTCAGATATTTCATTTCTTCCCTTTTTCCTTTTTTCTAAACTTTAATTACCTTAAGTCTCTGGTTTGTCTTTTGTTTGGAAATGCTAAGGATATGAAGTCCTTATTTGTATGATTTTAGCTGTGTGATTTGAGAACAAATGCTTAATCTTTTAAGTCTTGGTTTCTCCATTTGTAAGATGATTAGTTTGGAGCAGATTATTTCTAAAGATTCTTTCAACCTAGAATTCTGATTCCCAAGGATGCTGGATTATTTGACAACTACTTGCAACATGTTGGCATTTAGCAATTAGCTGGCAGCTAAAATGGAGTAAAGTAGAAATATTTTAGCTGATATCTCAAAAATGTCCACTATCTGTTAAAACAGAGTGAACCATGCTAGACTTTTGTTTAGTGGTGTGTGTGTGTGTGTGTGTGTGTGTGTGTATAAAGGTAGACACCAGTGAAAAGTTAGGGGGTAATTATGTAACAATTTAGGGGCAGGAGTGACGAATAGTTGGCATAATGCCATTATCCCAGTGGGCGTTTCTGATGCCCAAGGGCAGACATTGCTAATCGATCATGTCACTCATTTTTATGATCATATCACTCCTTTCACGCAGGGCTCCAGGCAGCCACTAAAAAAGCCATGATGAAATCTATTTGTCTCTCCTAGTCTGAAGCATAAAACCGATAACCCTAGTCTTATCAGCAACATTCTCTAACCCTTGGGATATTTGGAGGGTGTTCTCATTTGAATATTCACTCATTCAACACATATTTTTAAGTCCCTACACACACACACACAGTCCTAGCCAACCATAGTTGTAGGTAATGGTGATAAGTAGAGGATGAAACAAACAAAACTCTCATGGAATTTTCATCCTAGTGGGGCAGAGGAAGAAGGAGAATAAAATGACATACAAAGTACAGACATACTTTACCTTATTGTGCTTTATGTTATTGCTCTTTGTAGATATTGCATTTGTATGTTTTTTTTTAATTTTACTTTAAGTTCTGGGATACATGTGCAGAATATGAAGGTTTGTTACATAGGTATACATTTGCCATGGTGGTTTGCTGGACCTATCAACCCATCATCTATGTTTTAAGCCCTGTATGCATTAGGAATTTGTCCTAATGCTCTCCCTCCTCTTGCCCCCCACCCCCACCACCCCAACAGGCCCCAGTGTGTGATGTTCCCCTCCCTGTGTCCCTGTGTTCTCATTGTTCAACTCCCACTTATGAGTGAGAACATGCAGTGTTTGGTTTCCTGTTCCTATGTTAGTTTGCTGAGGATGATGGTTTCTAGCTTCATCCATGTCCCTGCAAAGGCATGAACTCATTCTCTTTTATGGCTGCATAGTGTGTATATGTGTGTGTGTGTGTGTGTGTGTGTGTGTGTGTTTTAAGAAGTTGAAGGTTTGGGCAACCCTGCATGGAACAAGTCTAGTGGCACCATTTTTCTAACAGCATGTGCTCACTTGAATCTCTGTTATATTTTGGTAATTCTTGCAATATTTCTAAGTTTTTCATTATCATTACATCTGTTATAGTAATCTGTGACATTGGATCTTTGATGTTACTATTATAATTGGGAGCACCATGAACTGTGCCCATGAATGACAATGAACTTAATCACTAAATGTCATGCGTGCTCAGACTGCTCCATCAGCATGCCGTTCCCTCATCTCTGTCCCTCTCCTCAGGCCCCCCTATTCTCTGAGACACAACAATATTGAAATTAGGCTGATTTATAGCCCTACAGTGGCCTCTAAGTGTTCAAGTAAAAGGAAAATTTGCACATCTCTCACTTTTTATCAAAAGCTAGATATGATTAAGTTTAGTGAGGAAGACATGTCCAAAGCCAAGACAGGCTGAAAGCTAGGCCACTTTTGCCAAACAGCCAAGTTGTGAATGCAAAGGAAAAGCTCTTGAAGGCAGTTAAAAATGTTATTCTAGTGAGCATGCAAATGATAAGAGAGTGAAACAACCTTATTGAAAACATGAAGAAAGTGTGAGTGGTCTGGGTAGAAGATCAAGCCAGTCACAGCATTCCCTTAAGCCAAAGTCAAATTCAGAGCAAGGCCCTAACTCTTTTCAATTCTTGAAGTGTGAAAGAGATGAGGAAGCTATAGAAGAAAAGTTGGAAGCTGGCAGAGGTTGGTTTATGAGGTGTGAAGAAGCAATCTTCATAACATAAAAGTGCAAAGGGAAGCAGCAAGTGCTGATGCAGAAGCTGCAGCAACTTGTCCAGAAGATCGAGGTAACATCATGAAGGTGGCTACATAAAATAATAGATTTTCAATAGAGACAAAACAGCCTTCTATTGGAAGAAGATGCCATCTAGGATTTTCATAGTTAGAGAGGAGAAGTCAATGCCTGGCTTCAAAGTTTCAAAGGACAGACTGACTCTCTTGTTAGGGGCTAATGCAGCTGGTGACTTGAAGTTGAAGCCAATGCTCATTCACCATTCTGAAAATCCTAGGACCTTTAAGAATTATGCTGAATCTGCTCTGCCTGTGCTCTAGAAATGTAATAGCAAAGCACGGATGACAGCATATGTTTATAGCATGGTTTACTGAGTAGTTTAAGTCCACTGTTGAGATCTACCGCTCAGAAAAAAAAGATGCCTTTCAAAATATTACTGCTCATTGACAATACACCTGGTTATTCAAGAGCTCCACTGGAGATGTACAAGGAGATTAATGTTATTTTCATGGCTGCTAAGACAACATACATTCTGCAACCCGTAGGTCAAAGTGTAGTTTTGACTTTCATGTTTTATTATATAAGAATTGGATTCATAAGGATATAGCTGCCATGGGTAGTGATTCCTCTGAGGGATCTGGGAAAAGTAAATTGAAACCCTTCTGGAAAGGATTCACTATTCTAGACTCCATTAAGAAGATTCATGATTCATGAAAAAAGGTCAAAATATCCACATTAACAGCAGTTTGGAAGAAGTTGATTCCAGCCCTCATGGATGACCTTGAGGGGTTCAAGGCTTCTGTGGAGGAAGTCACTGAAGATGAGGTGGAAATAGCAAGAGAACTAAAATTGTAAGTGGAGCCTGAAGATGTGACTGAATTGCTGCTATCTCATGATAAAACTTCAATGGATGAGGAGTTGCTTTTTATGGATGAGCAAAGACAGTGGTTTGTTGAGATGAAATCTATGCCTGGTGAACATGCTATGAACATTGTTTAAATGACAACAAATGATTTAGGATATTACATTAACTTAGTTGATAAAACAGTGGCAGAGTTTGAGAAGAGTGACTCCAATTTTAAAAGAAGTTCTACTGTGGATAAAATGCTATCAAACAGTGTCAGGTGCTGTAGAGAAATCTTTCATGAAAGGAAGAGTCTGTCAATGAGGGAAACTTTATTGTTGTCTTATTTTTAAAAATTGCTGTGTCACCCTACCTTTCAATAACCACCACCCTGATCAGTCAGCAGCTGTCAACGTTGAAGCAAGGCCCTCACCAGCAAAAAGATTAGAACTCACTGAAGGCTTAGATAATTGTTAGTATGTTTAGCCATAAGGTATCTTTAAATTAAGATATGTACATTGATTTTTAAGCATAATTCTATTGCACACTTAATAGACTATGGTTTAATGTAAACATAACTTCTGTATCCCCTGGAAACAAATCACGTGACTGACTTTATTTTGCTATTTGCTTCATTATGGTGGTTTGGAACCAAGCCCACAATATATGTGGGGTATGCCTGTATGTTTGGTATTGGTAAGTGCTGGAAAGAAATCAGCAGAAAAAGGATAAATGGAGTGAGTGTACATGGGGTTAGAATTGAATTGCAGTTTTATATAAGAATTTCACAAAAGGCTTTGTTGAGGTGAAATTTGTGGAAAGACCTAAAGGGGGAGAGATCGGGTGAGGATGGGAGGTTATCCAAGGCCGTGTAATTTTGAGGTTGCAGAGAGGAGCAAAAATTGTCTTTACAAGAAAATATTCATTAGTGAATTGGCCACTTTAAAATTATCCCCACTCAAGAATTCTTACCCTCTTGTTTTCCCATCTATCATATCAATATTTTTGTTGGTCTATGATAATTAATAGATATTATAAACATCAAATGATACAAACAAAAATAAATTTTACAAATAAATCAAATGATACAAACAAAAATAAATCAAATAAATCAAATTCTGTAGTTTTGAAGTAAAATTACCAATTATAGTAAAGATGATGATTTCATGAAGTTGTTGAAAGCTGTGTTAAAAACATACTTGAATTATAAGCAAATAAGGATCTGTCTGAATATTCAGTTAACAATTGAAGAAGAGAGAAGCACTGAGGATTAAACACAATAAGCTCTTTCAAGGTAAATGTTTACCCGAAGGATTATGAGAGGACTTTAGAGAAATTTTTATTACTCTTAAATATTTTTTAAAAGATGACCCTGTTATTGACCATCTGTGAAAGTCAAATATGAAAAAAAAGAAAAATCTTGCTTTTTTTTTTTTTAGGAAAATGTATGCCAAAAATACTGACCATACTTCAATTATTGCTTGTTGCTTTGTAGAATTAGCATAGACTTAAAATACCCTAAAATAATACAGAAATAACTTATTTTAAAAGATTTTGGTTTTATTTTTAAGTTGGAGTCCCAGTTGAACATCTTCTGTTTAGTGTGCAATTTTAGGATTTGTCTTAAGTGGATTCGCTGTAAACTGGTCCATTTCCATGACCAGTGAAATTCCCCTGAAGAGGCACAGTAAGTTAGGACAGGTGGAGGGACTCACCCAGGGTCACATGGCCAGAAGGTGGCAGGACCTGGGCAATGCTGTTTCCGTGCCTCCCAATGACCAAAGTTGTATTGAAAGGATTCTCTGGTGGATTCATAATATGAACTCATGTGGGAAATCAGGGATTCTAGGCAGTTAATCGGCAAACCAGCTATTGATTTGTTTTTTGAAAGATTTTTTTTTCTATTAATAAAACTTTGTTGTGTGGACATGATTCTGATTTAGAAGACATTCCTCATGGCTTATGGCAGTCTTCAAGGAGGCAGTGTTCTCTTACAAGGCCTGAGGAAGAGAATGAAATGTGATTATTAATATTTATCTGCAGAAGATTGTAGCAATACCCTGAACACCTTTTACTCTTAGTGTATAGGTACAAGACCTCTAGTTCTGACTAGGAAACAGGGTAGATGTTGCATTCAATAATGGACAAGAAATTTTAGGAGCCAAACTTTCTCTTTTACTCCTGGGGACTCTCAGAGGAAAAATAGATGCTTTCTTCAGTTTCTGGCCTATTTATAATATTTGGAGATGCCTTGCATTTCCTTATTTGACCCACAACTTGAAATCCCTATTGGTTTGAAGGAGCACTTGGGGGCTTTTGAATTTACATTTTGCTTAAATCCACATAGGGTGATACTTTACCTGCCATTTACTTCTAGATATAGATGGACAGGTAGACAGATAGATGAATAGATGAGATTGAGATTCCACAAATACCTAAACACTTACAGAACTGACTTTAGAGATCATCTGGTTTCCCATTTCATTTTATATTGAAGTTGTACAGAGAAGGGATAACAATACAGTTGGGTCACACAACAAGGCAGTGACTGATCTCACACCAAAATTCACATCTTCTGAATTATGGTTGGATGTTCTAATTCACCCCCAAATAAATGTCATTCCTATATGCATTTATGCATGAGTAGTCATCATATCCTGTGTTCATGATGTGTGCTAGCATTATATTTTTCTTAACTCCATCCCAGGACCCAAAGAAGAACATATATTCTGCAGTTGTCTCCATAAAACTGATCACATGGGGTTATGGTTAAGAGTATGTCATATGGAGCTGTACTGAAATATATGTCCTGCTGCTTCCTAACTAGCTATGTGAAATTGGATAAGTTTTTGAAGTTCTCTATACCTCCATTTCCTCATTTGCTAAATAAAGGTAATAATACTCATTTTTTTAGGCTTGTTTTGAGGATTGAGATAATGGATGTAAAGTATTTAAAAATGCCTATAATTGAGCATGGATAGAGCTCAATAAATGTTAGCCATCGTTGCAGTTATCTTCAGCTACAGCAGAGGAACAACTGCAGAATCTTCGTCATCAGCATCATTAGCATCTTTATCATCATTTATTATTGTTATTGGTAAGCTGAAATCAAACCACTGAATGGTCCTTTGAGCACATCCAGTCTAACCTTGGTCTCATGACTTAATCCTATGTTTAACATCCCTGCCGTGTGGCCAGCCTGTCTTAGATTGAATACCTCTGGTGCCCAGGAACTGATTTCTTTCCAGAGTAGTGCATGTAATTTCAGAGACGATTCTAAATACAATTAAACTGGGGTTTAAAAGTCTCTAATACTCAAAATAAATGGCCTGCCCCAGCATCATTACTCATATCTGAAATGATTTATATACCAATTATGTAAGGAATTTGTTTTTCCTGTTTCACATAAAGATTATGGATCAATTAAGTTCTTATGTTTTCCTTGTCTAAGAAGGAAGTTCCTATGCCCAAACTTGGGATCTGGCTGACCAGGGAAGGAGGCAAGAGGCCCCAGCAGTTTTTATTTCCAACCTGGCCTTTGTCACCAGCTATGATCTGGGCTGAGAAGCCCCCACTGCTTTGCCAGGATACTTCTCTCTGAGCCTGTCACTCCTCTTACTTTCTGGATATATTGCATTTGAATTAGGTATTAGACACCTAAGGGGATAGAGGATTCTGTAGCTCAGTGTACCAGTCAGGGGTAAAAATTCAAATTTGAGAGAATTAGCCTAGAATTGGTATTTGAAGCCATAGGATGTGAGAAAGAGAGTTTGTAGTGTACTGTAGCAAAAATCTTCTAAAAAAAAAAAAACTAGCTGGCAGCAGCCACTGGATTAGCAAACATGCCATTCAGATTTTCTTACTTCGTCTTCCTCTGCTTGATAAAACATACATGGAGGGCAGTGAGGATGCAAGATGTTAGTTGAAATCAATGACAGAGACACTATCTTCCTTCAGCTCAATGAGCTTGCAATCATTAGATGAGGGAGAGATGCACAGGTCATTAATTATAAAAGAGGGCAGGTGAAAATGGCTATGAAGTGTAGGTATTGGCATGTCCTGGAGCAGAGAACAGGGAGGGGTAGTTAGTTTGTTGGTTATATCAAGGAAGACTTCACAGGGAAGATGCTATCTGTAGGGGAACCTGAATGACAAAAGACATTTTAGGGGCTAAAGAAAGGGTAGAAGGCATTCCAGGCAAAGGGAGACTAGATGGAGAATAGATTCAGAGAGGCGAAGAGCACACAGTAGGTTCACATAGTAGGATTTCAAAACAGATTTGTGAACAGTATCCCACTGACCCTGTATCTAGGGCTGGCCATTTCTCCTTTGCCTGAAGGCCGCCTTGAAATAGATGTGTCCCTGTATTCTGAGATGTAGATCTTGCAGAGCCCAGGGAGAGTACCTGGAGCCTTTCACCTTGTGCTGAGATTCGAAGGGCAGGGAAGAAACAGACTTCTCCCATGAGACCAATAATGATGACACTCAAGATTGTGGATTGCGAGCTTGTTTCAAAGGTACCATTGGGTATCCACACATCCTCACAGTAAATCACCGTGCACCAGGCCTCACAGCACATTACTGGCTGGCCTGCTGCGTTCTCTCTCGGGGAGCAAGGACAACAGATCTAGAAAGTGAAGTGCAGATCTGTGGAAAATATCAAAGCCCGATTGGCATCCTGTGGTGCCCATGCTCCTCACTCCCCAGATTGGGAAACTGAGACTCTTGAGAGGATAGTTGCACACCCAGCTCATGTAACGTAGTGGCAGTGTAGGCGCTAGAACATGATTTCTCTGATTTATTTTCAAGCATGTTTTTTTTTCTACTCTGCCTCACACTTGTTCTCTTTTCTTTGAAGTTCAAAGTATTTTGCAGCCTCAACTTGTGCTTAACTCTACTGCCAAGAGACAGCTGCTATTATCTGCCATTGTGATACCCCTGTCCCCAGCACTTTCCCTCTTCTCGCATTGCTCTCAGGAGAAGCCCTAGGCAAGTTGAATGTTAGATAGAAGCTCAATCTGTTCATCTCCCTGAGGAATCATGGCATCTTTATGACTGTTCAAGAAAAAATTATGCAGTTATGCTTATTAAGCAAGTATGGTAAGGAATACTTTATTTAGGACCACCATGATAGGGGTACTGCAGCTGGGGAGTGGGATTGGGCTCAACTCTGAATACAACATGGGCAAGTGGGATTGTATAGACAAAGAGTAATGTAGAGGTTGGTGGATGGAAAATTACTAAGATGACACATCAGAGGTAAATGGGATTCTGGCTAAACCAACCTAACAAGATTCTTGATGAAGGCAGGCCAGGGTGATGAGGCATTCTCTGGGGGATGGAAGAGGATGAGGAACTCAGTCAGATATCAAGGGTGAGCAGATATCAAGAATGTGGGGGCTCTCAGAAGAGACTGTAACTATCCTTGGAAATTGATTTCTTTTGTTCTGTCTCACCAAAAGCCAGTGGATCCTTTTCATCTTTCCAAGCTACTGTCTGAATTTCTCCTCAAATGATTTGGGGGCAGACAGTAACTCTGGCTCTTTTGTTCTCTCTCTTGGTCTCCTTGAAGCCTTCTAGTTTTACAGTTGTGGTAGAAATAGAAAAGGAAAGTGCTTTCAAATCTCAGGGAACCTGGGGTGTCGGGCAGTGTAGGATAAATGAAAGGGGTATGAGGTGAGGACATTTGAGATATGTTTCAGGGGCAGGGGACTTGCGTATAAACTAGAAAGTCAAGTATGTGGGAATGTATGAAAAGTACAGAGTCCAGGCTGGTGAGATGCAAGCATTCTTGATCCGGGCCCTAGGCACCTGAGCTAAAGGAAAGGGTGGTGTCAAAGCAGAAATTCACAGCACTAGGGGACATTCCCTGGCGGGTGGTAGGAGTGGGCACTTCTACTCCCGTGGATGGAGAAGACTGGACATGTAGGAGGGCTCTGCTAAAGGGTGAGAGCTGGGCCTGAGGTTTGGGTCTTGAGACAGCAACAACCCAAGAAGCAGAACAAAGACATGAGATCAAAGGAAGAATAAGTAGCCTTAGAGCCTTTATTACCTGCATTGGCTAATCCTGGGTTCTCAGGTGGCCCTGCCTAGGGGCAGGCAGGTTTCAGGAACCTGAGTAAGGCTTGGCCTAGTGGTGAGGGCTGATTGAATGGCCCCAGCTGTGAAGAGATGAGGCTGGGCTATCGGTGTTGTACCAGAACATCAAAGCCCTAAGTTTGAATCTAGTGAAACTAGGCTATTATCTCCTTACCTAAAACCCTTCAGTACCCCCACAACCCTATCACTAACCATGGGTTCAAATCAAGGTCCTTCTCAAGGCATTCAGGATACTTCAAGAACAAATTCTATAATCTTCTTGACTTTTCATTCTTGTTGTTTTTTTTTTTATTCTTAACCTATTTCTCTAGGCCATGCCTTTTCTTATCCTGTCTTTCCAATTCTTCCATCTCAATTACTCCTCGTTAGCCTTCAAATCTCAGGTGTCACCTCCTCCAGAAGGCCTTTTCTCATTATGAGTTCCCCTCAGGCTAAGCATTTTTTTTTCTGTTCCTCTTCCCCTTCCTTTAATTTCCTGGCATATTTATTTTATTGTACTAACCATACTAATTATAATTGCCTATTTATGTGCCTCTACTAGTCTTCCCCACTAATATATGTTCTTTGAGGCCAGGGGCAGTGTTTAGTATATTTCCCATGCCTAAAGCAGGCTCAGCACATACTAGTTACTCAATAAATATCTGCTGTATGAATGAATGGATAAATGCATAAATGGCTTTGATGCAATATAACCTACATAGCTCCCCTCTGACTCAGTTTACATAGCTAAGAATAAGACTCCCCATCCTGCTGCCTTACAGGACTGCTGAGAGGATCAAATTAGGTAATATAAGTATAAACTTCTGAGAAGTTAAATGTAAAGGATTCTTACCATCTCATGCCTGCCTTGGACTGCCTGAGTGACTGTACTATCTTCCGCTTCCTTGTAGTCTTCAGAGGAAGTTTTCCTCCCAAAGAAACTAATTCAAGTTTGCTCCCGATAAATGATGGTAAAGATCACCACTGATACTCTTCTTCCTACTACTCACTGTCCTGTTTTCATGGAAACGGGTTGCCCTAGAAGGGAAGAGAGAGTCAAAACGTGACAAGCATATTCTCCCTACTAATACCTCTGCATGCTGCAGTGGGCCATAAAACCCCTGGTGTAGCAGGAAGGGGCAGGGTGGGGGGTGGAGAAGAAGGAGTAATGATTTGAGATCCCAGAAATTCAGGTCAAAGATAGGCAGTGGGATGAATGCTATTTCCCATTGACATGTTAGATTTGTGTTCTTACCTAAAGAATACATGGTTGATTGGAAGTACCCTGCACTTCATATAGGGGGAAGTGGGCTTGTCCAGATGACACTTTAGCTGTGCAATGCCAGGCAAGTCCTCTTTGCTCCCTGAGTCACACACATCTTCATTTGTGAAAGAAGATAATTATTATAACCAAAGTTTAGTGAGGACTGTGCTCCCAACTGGCCTCAGCTATGTGCTTTGTACAGATTCTCTCCTTTAATTCCATCCCATTCTCTCTCATCATTTAAGCTTCACAGAGAAGCCTGAAGCTCAGAATGCCTGAGGGCCTGGCTGGGGTCACAGAGCCGGAGAGGGGTGTGCCTGACTCCAAAGCCTTCACTCTCACTACAGTCCCTGGTCTGAGCACATGTCCTCATGGGAATTAAACGGATGTTTGGGGGAATTTTGGAGGCATTATTATGAAAATATAATTTATCCCAAATGACATATTTTTACATTCAGGGGAAGATAATGATGCTTTTAAAAAATCTGCAAGGGAGAGAAGGAACTTGATAAGATACTTTTGTTTAATCTGGGTTTCCTCTTGCTCAGAATAGTTATTTTCACTCTATGGAAACAGAGCCAGGAACACTAAACATGAGGCCCTATTTTTGCCCAAATACATGATAGGCACAAAAAATGAGTAAAAGAAGTATTCTTTTAAGGATCTGAGACTCTCAAAGGTGCCACAGCGTTTGACCTTGGACATGACACTTAGTATAGTGATTAGATGCACAGACTTGGAAACCAAATAGGCAGGAACTAGACCAGTAGGGGTTTAGAAGGCTACTACTATTTAGTTGTCTTCATAAGGAGAAAAGGTACCAGGGCATGATGGTGCTGTTTCATTTCTTTTTTCTTTTTTTTTTTTTTTTGTTCTTTGAGACAGAGTCTTGCTCTGTCACCCAGGCTGGAGCACAGTGGCAGGATCTCGGCTTACTGCAACCTCCGCCCCAGGTTCAAGCGATTCTCCTGCCTTAGCCTCCCGAGTAGCTGGGATTACAGGTGTCTGTCACCACACCCGGCTAATTTTTGTATTTTTAGTGGAGGCGGGGTTTCACCATGTTGGCCAGACTGGTCTCAAGCTCCTGACCTCAAGTGATCCACCTGCCTTGGCCTCCCAAAGTGCTGGGATTACAGGTGTGAGCCACCGCACCCGGCCATGCTGTTTCATTTCTAACCATGAGAAATGATGATTTTAGTATGTGTTTTATGTGCTTGAAGTTTGTTTGGTGGTGTTAACCAGCCAGGCATCAGGTGCTTTAACTATAGTCAGATGACCATGGCCTGAGAGGGTGTGGAAAATGCTGGAGACACTTTCAGTCTGCACACCTAGGCTCAAATGTCAGTTCTGTCCAGTCTCCAGGGGCTTGAGTGACTCACTAAACTTCCTGAAGCCACAGTTCTTTTTTCTCATCTATAAAAAATATATTACTATAACAAAATCAGCACTGCCCTCGTACGTGAAGGTCACTGATTTCCCAGCCATGATTTCAGGACTTGATTACAAGTGACTGCAGTGATCTCCACCACCTGACCTTGGTCTAGTGTATGTTCAGTATCCCCCCAGAGCTGTGCCTGTCACCTCCTGGGGAGGCCTTTCCAGCCCTACACCAGATCAAGCCTCCATGTTAAACACCCATAGAACTATGAAATAAGCCTCCGTAGCACATTTCTCTGTCATCACAAGACACTTTAAAGTTATTTCATTGTGCCTCTTTCTACAAGACCATAAGCTTCACAAAGGCAGAGACTATGTCAATTTTGCTCATTGGCATATTCCTAGTGCCACTGTACTGTGTGAAAAGTAGATGCTGAATAGATGTTTGGTGATTGAATAAAAAGTGAATAAAAGAAATGAAGAAAGGAAGGAAGAGAAGAAGAGGGACTAAGCCAGCCAGCCAGGTAGCCAATCAGGAAGGTCCATTCAATCTCTCAACACCTTTCAGGTATACCTTCTCAGTTCCCAGGGCTGTAGACAATACAGGAAAGTAAGAAGATGGTACCAAATATAAAACCTAGATAAATAAGATTTCAGAGACTCAAAAGACCTTTTCTGACCCCATCTCAATCTAAATTCGATCTGTAGTTATTTTCTTTCTCTCATTGTGTGTGTCTGTCTCAGAATTATTCTTTTCCTTCCTAGTGCTAGGCACAATTTATTTGGTTGGTTATTTTATGTGTGTCTATTGTGCACATTAGCTCACCACTATAACCCCAGCACCGGGCACAGTACCTGGCATGTAGGGGTTCTGAATGAATGTCAGTCACCAGTCTAGTGCCATGGGGGAAGCAGGGACACAGAGAAAAAATGGACGTGGCACCTGATCTTAAGAACCCATCAATACAGTGAGGAGAAGAAGGATAATGAATGTGAAGCATCTTGTTAAATGCTGTGCAAATATAAATGATTATTGGGCACCTTTTGTGAATGTAGTAATAATATGCTGAAGCTTCTGGTAACTAGAATTTCTGGGTTGATTAGCCTGATAGAAGGGTACCTTTAGGAACTGATTCTTTTCTAAGGGATCATTTGTTCATTCAATGCATACTTACTAAGTACCTACTATGTGTCATGTAATGTGTTAAGGAGTGGGGAGAAATATACAGGATGAAGTGGATCCCAGCTATCATGAAGCTGGAAGCTTCCAGAAGTAGCAACTCTTTCATTCTTCTTTCTCATCTTTAGTACCTACAAACAAAGGGGTTGCTGCCATATACTGCAGGACCCCTATTGCAGGCCCATTAGAAAAGCATTTGCACTAAGAAACTGTGGTCTGCCAGGCATCTATCTAGAAGCTGCTTAGAGATGTACAATCATAACACATCAGCCTAACTGTCTGCATTTGAGTTAGCAGCTCCCCACCACCATTCCCCATGACATGTTGTAAAGAATATGAGCTGCTGCTCAGTTTGGTCCTAGCAATTGCTAAATGTATGGCCTTATGTAATCTCTGCAAGCCTCATTTTTTCATCTGTAAATTGAGGATAATAATACCCACACCAGAGGATTGCTGTGAGGTTTAAATGAGATAATACATGTAAAGTACCTACCAGAGTACTTATGGTAAACAATAAATCATTGTTTGTTTGTTTGTTTTCGTTACTATTGCACTGACTTGACCGGGCATCTAGTTCAGACAATGGGGAAAATGGAGCAGCATGATCATATTCATTTTTGTTTTTTAAAACAGGTTTTTTAATTGATGTATAATAGATGAGCATAGTTTCTGGGTACATGTGACCATTTGATACATTCATATAATTTGTAGAGATCAAATAAGTGTACTTGTGATATCTACCACCTTATATATTTAATCAGACTCTGTCTTTGCAGAAAGTACAAACATCTACCATTTAATTCATTCAAAGGAGCTTTTAGGGAAGAGGAAGGATAGGTAGAAAAGCTTGAGGAATAGAAGCATAGAGGCTAGTTGTTCAGTAACCTGGGTTCTGATCCCTTTCAGCCACTAACTTCTCTGTGACTGGGGTAAACAATACACTTTCTTCATCCTACCCTAGTTTATTTCATCTATAAAGGGATGGTGCAGAGTGGCTCAGTTCTCCAAGCTCTTTCAACTTTCCTCGCCCATGATTCCACCACTAGAGTCTACATGGAACACATTCTTTAGCTTCTGCAAAGTCTGGAGACATCTAGAGCTGAGATGTGTGATCAGGCCTGTGGTCTGCACCAGAAATTGGGCTGGAATCTGCATGTCTACCTGCCACTGCCTGGGGCAAGGAGCTGATGGTTCTATTGCCCATCTGAGAGGTACCACCTCCCACCCCCATTCCCAGGCTGGCAACTCCTCCACTGGAACTGTACTGATGATGATCTCTTTGTAGTCCAGATACTCATCCAAACTCCAGCCCAATCTGGAACATTTGCCATGAGTATTGCTGGCCCCCCATTCTTCTTCCCTGCCTCAGCTGCTCTGAGGGATTTTGTGCCTGATCCATCAGCAATTGACAAGAGCCAGAAGAAAAGGATGGAAAAGAAGTAAGCAGAGGTGGAAAAGTGAGTGCTGAGTCAATACTGGGTGGATGAATGTTAGGTAGGCTGGGTGAGACTTCATAGATAGATGAATGGGTGATGAAGAAAGGTGAGGGACTGGCAGTGTGGTAGACCAGCACAGTGCCTGCATGGAGAAGGCACCGAGTAAATACTTGCCATGTCAATGTCGAATGTTGTTGGGAGAGAGAAAATGAAATAGAAGAGAGAAAGAAAAAGGAACAGAGAAATAAATAATAAGTTAATAGGGAAGAAGGACAGAGTGAAAGAATAGTAACAGATGGATGTGGTAGATGATAAAATGAGAGAGACATAGCTAAAACTTGAGAAGTCCCTTGCAAAGGGTTTTTTCCATGCCCTTTGTTAGAGCTGTCTGAAGTTTCAATGCTGACATTAAAAACTTAGTGTATATGTGGATATGTGAAGGCACTGTCCTCTATTAAAACCCAGAATTTCCTGAACTGGACAAAACAAGAAGCTGCTATCAGGTTAGTTCTTCTCAGAGTCGATCTGACAGCTGGGTTTGAATTGAGGTGCCCATGAAAAGACAAGGAGGCAAACCTAGGCCAGGACTGTGGGTTGCAGTAGTGGAAGAGTGAACACAGCAGAGAACTAGGCCCAGCAACGTGGAATTGAAGGCTTCAGATGATTCTCTTACAGTGTGACATCCCTTGACTTCTGCCTCACTGGACCTCTGCCTGTTCCTAAGAGCCATCATCAGTTGGGGCTGGAAACCGCTAGACATTGTTTAGCTCAGGGTTCCCCAACATGGAACATACACACTACTGGTGGTAATGAAGATTTTGTTGTTGTTGAACCCAGGTGACCATTTATTTATTTTTATTGTATATAAGGTCTACAACACATCTTGATATACATAACGAGGTGATTACTATAGTCAAGTAAATTAACATATTCATAATCTCACATAATTGCATATGTGCTTATATAGTGATCTTCAATTAATCTAAGTGATGCTGCTTTTCCATTATAATAGTGATATAAATGTTTCTTGGTAAAATTTAAGTTTAAAAAGTGAGTTGATGTAAGGAAAGAGTATTAAAAAATGATGACACAGCTGGCATGCAGTTATTGGAGCAGTGATGAGATTGCATAGCTAAAGTTAGAGAAGTGCATTTCTAGTTCAAACTCCCCATTTTATAGATAAGGTAATTGGGGTCCAGAGGAAGAAAATGACTTGCTTAGTGGATCAGAATCAGGGATACAGTTGGACTAGAATTCACGTCTCCCACTTTCTAGTTATCTTAGTTTATTTTGTGCTGCAATGAAAGAATACCTGAACTGGGTAATTTATAATAGACAGAAATTTATTTGGCTGGCAGTTCCAGAGCTTGGAAGTTTAAGATCAAGGAGTTATATTGGATGAGGGTCTTCTTTCTGTGTCATCTCATGGAAAAAGGTGTAAGGGCAAGAGAGCGTGCATGTTCGAGAGAGACTAAACTCGCAGCCTCAAGCCCTTTTATAATCACATTACATCATTTATAAAGGTGGAGCCTCCCACTGGGCCCCACCTCCCAGCACTGTGGAGTTGGGGATTAAGCATAAACACAATTGGAGAACACATTCAAACCATAGCACTAGTCAATGAGCTTTCTCCCTGCCTATGCTGCCTCCATAATCCTCCTCTGATAATCCTTCTTAAAGCCCCAAGCAATTGGCCTGTTAATTAGGGATCTGTTTGACAAATACTAAACCTCCTATTGCTTTCATTTAAGGATAAAAACAATATATTTGTCTTATGATGACTTGTCATGGTAGACACCTTGGATTTATATGAGCATTAGACATGGTGTGAGTGTTGTGGGTTGGCCTTGATTTATGGAATAAGTACACATCGAGAAAAATGGCATAAAAATCAAACTTGTACAAATTGAATTCCATTTTTCCATTGATTTACTTTATCTCAGAGGTGTTTTTACCTTAATTTTTGAATTATTTATACTTGGTAATTGCTTCAAGCTTTTTATTTCTTTATAAAGAAAATAACTACACTGAGAGTCTGAAAAAATGGGTACTAGTTTGAACTCAGATACAAACTCATTATGTGACCCTTGAAAAATCCTGAGCCTCTTTGCTCCTCAAAAGGCTTTTCAAAATGAAAGGAAGAATGACAGAGGTTGAGTGAGGGGCTATCTAGGAGCCTTTTCCTCTCTCTCTGTAATATCATAGACTTCTCTGATTTTACATTCTTGATCCCAGTTGGCTTTATCTCATCGTTAGCCTTTTCAACGTCAAAAACAAATGTGAAGCCACCAGTAAGGACAATGTCAAATTAATTCCATAAGAATTAGCAATATGGAAGTAGGCATGAAGGGATGGTGTGAGGTGATGCAGTGGACAGCTTTGTAATTTTCTGCTCAGCATCCCTTTGCAAGGCATTACTCCTTGCTCCAGTCAAAACCACTGCAGAAGGATTAGTTAACTATATTCTACTGTGACCTCATCCCTAAGACGATTGATTGATTCAGGGGCAGACAGGCACCTGACCAAAGCAGAGCTAATCAGGGTATCTCCTGGGGATTGTCATTGTAGTCTTAGAAAATAGAAGCTAGATTATCTTGGGGTGTCTATATTGATAAGATACATAAAGCTTTAAAGCTGTTGGTGGTTGTCTTCATTCATTGTGTGCTGCTATAACAGAATATCTGAGAATGGGTAATTTAAAAGTTTATTGACTCACAGTTCTGGTGGTTAGGAAGTCCAAGGCTGAGGGGCTGGCATCTGGTGAGAGAGCCTTCTCGCCGTGCCATCCTGTGGCAGAAGGGCAAAGAGAGGAGGGGAGAGAGAGTGAGAGCAGGTGAACTCCTTCTTTTATAAGGAACCCATTGCTGTAATAACAAAACGACTCCCACATTAATGGCATTAATCTATTCATGAGGGAAGCACCCTTGTGATCTAATCACCTCTCATTAGGCCCTACCTTCCAACACTGTTGCTCTGGGGATTAAGTCTCCAACACCTGCTTTTTGGGAGACACATTCAAATTATAGCAGTGGTCATTTTCGTCTTTAACCATAAATGCTATGATGCTTTAAGGAAGGAGCAAGAGAGAACTAGAGCAGGCACACAGGGAACAGAAGAAAAAAGGAAGAGAATGTGACTTCTGATGGCACTTAAGTATTTGGTTCCAACATTTCTTAGCCTTAACTGCATTTTATTCTTACCCCCAATGAGCCACCCTATTGTCCTTGTCCTTATAAATTATTCTCCCAACACACTTTTCTAGTTACTAAGATTGATTTGAATTGTCCCTTGCAACCAAGGGGATTCTAATACATTACCAGGGCCCCATCCCAGAGCCACTGAATCAGAATCTCTGGTGCTGGGTTTCAGATATTAGTATTGTTAACTCAAAAATCACAAAATTTATAAATTTAGAAAGGAGAGTAGACTTTCTTATATAGGGTTACAGCTTGCAAGGTGGCCATTCTGACAGGTTGGGAAGTATAGCCTCCTGCAGAAGCCCAAAAGGCAGGCACTTTGAGGGAGGGGTGGGTAGAACAACAGGGATTCATGCTGAGTGAGTTGACCATGTATACATATTCAACAGGTTATAGGAAGAGCTATGAATATTCATGAGCAGGGCCATGCATGTGTAATAACCAAATATACATGTTACATATGACCCATGTTGTCACCTTGCAGTAGAGACATAACATTTAAATGTATTACAATGAGGCCCTATATGTCAAAAGGTGAAGGAGGGACCTGAGGGCACTTAGGGACACAGCCTCTATAAAATGGCCAGAACCAGTCCATGTCAGTGAGTGGCCTTCTTATCAGGAGGAAGTTACTGAAATCAGTCTCATTTACAATCAAAGATATGGCTATGGCTTGTGGAACAGGAGGGGCAGGTAGTCAGCATCTGGCAGTGAGCGACAATTGTTTTAATATTGCTTATTGGGAGGCCATTGCTTGTTTGGTTGCTAGAGTAAGAAAAAAAGCCTTGTGGCAGTTAGAACATAGTTTATTCTTTTTTTTAATTATTATTTTACTTTAAGTTTTAGGGTACATGTGCACAATGTGCAGGTTAGTTATATATGTATACATGTGCCATACTGGTGTGCTGCACCCATTAACTCGTCATTTAGCATTAGATATATCTCCTAATGCTATCCCTCCCCCCTCCCCCCACCCCACAACAGTCCCCAGAGTGTGATGTTCCCCTTCCTGTGTCCATGTGTTCTCATTGTTCAATTCCCATCTATGAGTGAGAACATGTGGTTTTTGGTTTTTTGTCCTTGCGATAGTTTACTGAGAATGATGATTTCCAATTTCATCCATGTCCCTACAAAGGACATGAACTCATCATTTTTTATGGCTGCATAGTATTCCATGGTGTATATGTGCCACATTTTCTTAATCCAATCTATCATTGTTGGACATTTGGGTTGGTTCCAAGTCTTTGCTATTGTGAATAGTGCCACAATAAACATACGTGTGCATGTGTCTTTATAGCAGCATGATTTATAGTCCTTTGGGTATATACCCAGTAATGGGATGGCTGGGTCAAATTGGAAAAAACTACTTTAAAGTTCATATGGAACCAAAAAAGAGCCCACATCACCAAGTCAATCCTAAGCCAAAAGAACAAAGCTGGAGGCATCACGCTACCTGACTTCAAACTATACTACAAGGCTACAGTAACCAAAACAGCATGGTACTGGTACCAAAACAGAGATATAGATCAATGGAACAGAACAGAGCCCTCAGAAATAAAACCACATATCTACAACTATCTGATCTTTGACAAACCTGACAAAAACAAGCAATGGGGAAAGGATTCCCTGTTTAATAAATGGTGCTGGGAAAACTGGCTAGCCATATGTAGAAAGCTGAAACTGGATCCCTTCCTTACACCTTATACAAAAATTAATTCAAGATGGATTAAAGACTTAAACGTTAGATCTAAAACCATAAAAACCCTAGAAGAAAACCTAGGCATTACCATTCAGCACATAGGCATGGGCAAGGACTTCATGTCTAAAACACAAAAAGCAATGGCAACAAAAGCCAAAATTGACTAATGGGATCTAATTAGACTAAAGAGCTTCTGCACAGCAAAAGAAACTACCATCAGAGTGAACAGGCAACCTACAAAATGGGAGAAAATTTTTGCAAACTACTCATCTGACAAAGGGCTAATATCCAGAATCTACAATGAACTCAAACAAATTTACAAGAAAAAAACAAACAACCGCATCAAAAAGTGGGCAAAGGACATGAACAGACACTTCTCAAAAGAAGACATTTATGCAGCCAAAAGACACATGAAAAAATGCTCATCATCACTGGCCATCAGAGAAACGCAAATCAAAACCACAATGAGATACCATCTCACACCAGTTAGAATGGCAATCATTAAAAAGTCAGGAAACAACAGGTGCTGGAGAGGATGTGGAGAAATAGGAACACTTTTACACTGTTGGTGGGACTGTAAACTAGTTCAACCATTGTGGAAGTAAGTGTGGCGATTCCTCAGGGATCTAGAACTAGAAATACCATTTGACATAGTTAATTATTTTTAACTGTAGAGGTGAATGATGAAATCCTTGTCTGGTATGGCTTTAGGCCTTGTTTATAATTCCATACTTTATTACCATAAAGAGTTCATTCAGTCAGTCTTACGATCTCTATTTTAACATTAATGTTAATCTACAAAACGGAAGGGATATAATGAGATGTATTTGACCTCCTGTCCCATCATGGCTAGAAACTCCAATTTTAAGTTTTCTTTTCTGGGGTCCCCTCGGCCAAGAGGGTGTCTGTTCAGTCAGGTAGGGGGCTTAGGATTTTATTTTTAGTTTACAGTACTTAAAATCTCCTTGGCTGGTTTTCAAGTGCAGCCATGCTTGAGACTCCTGCTTAAAGGTACAGCAAAGAGGAAGGAGGTTGCCACATAGAGTGTATGAGGATGCTCATTCCAAGCCATCTTTACCTAGCTGCCCTTGAGCCCAATTTCCCAACTGATCCTCAGTCTCCTACCTGTTAGAAACAGTTCTCCTTATCTTACACTCTTCCCACAGCTGCTGGCTGTGTCACAGGTTGTGTTGCTCAGGCAGCAGACTCTGTGGGGGAGATTAGCAGTCAGGCTTATTTAGGCATGAAAGCTCTCAGGATCCACATCTGGGAAAGGAAAGAAACAAAAGTAGGTGGGGCAAAGGGAGATGCAGACGCCCCAGGAACTGTGCAGCTGAACTGACCCCTCAGAGCTGCTCTGAGTTGGCCTGAATGAGGGATCCTTTATCCTCCGAGTCACTGGATGGCAGTGAGACACACTTCTTCAGCTGAGACAATTCTCTCCAGCAGCCCCCAACGTTTTTGGCACCCAGGATGGGTTTTGTGGAAGACAGTTTTTTCCACTGTTCTGCGGGGAGGAGGGGAGAAGTGGGGGGAGATGGTTTCAGGATAAAACTGTTCCACCTCAGATCATAAGGCGTTAGTTAGATTCTCATAAGGAGCACTAGATCCCTTGCATGAGCTCAGGCAGTAACACTTGCTTGCCCGTCACTCACCTCCCCTGTGCACCAGTTCCTAACAGGCCATGGACTGGTACTGGTCTGTGGCCTGGGGGTTGGGGACCCCTGCTCTAAATGAACGAATAGTGGAGGACGTCATTCCTGATGGGGAATCTGAATGACATAGCTCAGCGTCAGTCACCCCCAACATGTGAAACCTCTTATATGACAAAGGGAAATCTTTGTTCTCTCCTGAAACCTTCTCCACCTCTAATGTTTCCTTTTAAAGTGAAGGGCCCCACGGTACATTTAGACACCTGGTCAGAAACCTCCAGGCAACCTCTTCCTCAACGTCTAATCCAATCAGTCTCCACATCTTTTAGAATCACCTTTAAATATTTTCATTATAGTATTTTCCCTCTTTGTCTCTGCTACCATTGCCTTAGTTCAGTTTGCCATCACCTCTCATCTGAACTATTCCCACAGCTTCCTAATTGTTCTCCCTGCTTCCTGAATTCTTGTTCTTAAATTCACCCTGCGTGCAACTGCCAGAGGGATCTTTCTAAAATGCAGAGCAGAGCATGTTGCTCCCCTCCTTAAAACCTTTTAGTGGTCCCTCATTGCCCTCAGGATATCAGCCAAATCTTAGTGTGGGCCCTGGAGTCCAGAGCCCACCCTCATCTGGTTCCACTTTCCCTACCTCTCACTCCCACACTCCACACTGCTTATCGCTCCTGTCACTCAGGTCACTGCTCTGTGCCCTCCTTGATCTGCTTATGCTGTTCACTGCTCTTGGAATGACCTTCCCTCTCCATCTCTCTAATTTATATTCATCCTAGAAGATATCACCTCCTCCAGAATATGATCCTGAACTCAGGTTCCCAGAGATTTTTGTCCAACAGAGCTCATCTTTGTATATTATTGTCTTTGCTTCTTATTAACAATTATGCTATAATTTTAATAGCCCACATTAATTGAGTACTTACTTGGTGCACTGTGCCAAATACTTTATATAGATGATCTCACGTCATCCTCAAAATAACCTGTGAAGTTAGTACTATTATTATCTCTATTATATAGAGGAGCAAATCGAGCTTGATGAAATAACTCTTGTTCAAAGTCACTTGGTTAGTGTAGAGGGGATTTGGAATCAAGACTGTCTGCTTACATTATTCTTGTTTTATTGATCTTTTCACCTCGGTACCCAGAACGGTGCCTAGCACGTAAAAAATAACTTGAACTAAACCCAGAACAGTGACTACATCATGGTTTCTTTTTAATAATTTATTTTCTCCACCACATAAAATAGTGTAGATTGAAAGTGGTAATAATAGCAATGCTAATGTTTAATATAATTTTCTCCAATATAAAGAAAGGTAAATGGAAGCCTTTAAGGAGTTAAGTGCTGGTCAGGGGAACCTGGTTTCAGACCCTGGACCTGTGACCACAGAGAGGAATGAAACGAAGATTTGACCTAAAACTTACTAAATTTGTTTTTCATTTCAGTAGAAGCAATGTAATGCCTGTTTTTCCACATGATAAAGACAGGTCTTTATCATTTGTTTTGATTTTCAGATCACGTGCAGTAGATATAACTGCTTGCTGAATTGACAGATATCCAAGAATTAAAGTAAAAGTAAACACATGTTAAGTGCCTCGTTTAATCTCCCTTTAACTTCCCCCCAAGCCCTCACCAGTTAAGTTTTACCGTATCAGTTTATATAGTTTTGCAAACAGAGGCTCAGGAAGCTAGAGTGACTTGGTTAAAGTCACATAACTAACTTATGGACGTTTCAAGACATAACTTCAGCTCTAACTGCAAAGTCTTTGCTTGTCCCACTGTTCCCCCGCGGTCCTGCCCACCTTTGTTCCTGAAATTCTGGCTTGTCCACAGAGATCTGGACAGCTTCTAATGGGCGTTGATGTTCTTAGGTATCTTCAATTGCTGTCATAATGGCTAGCTTGAGGGAAGGAACTGACTCTTCACCAGCTCTCATGCCCTTAAGTTAGATATTTAGCAGGTGGTCCCCTGGGGAGCCAGGTGAACATGTTATAGCAGAACCTTGAGCAGCAAGGGAGCTGCTGCTTTCTGAAACAGCAATCCTTCAGGGGTCTTATCCTAGTACATTAAACAAGAAGGAACTAAGAGAGCTTGCATAAATTCATAGAGACAGAAGATTAGTGGTTGCCTGGGGGTGGGGTGGGGATGCTGAGAAATAACTGATTAGTGGATACTATGGGGTCTCTTTTTGAGGTGTTGAAAATTTTAGAACTAGGTAGTGGTGATGATTGCACAACATTGTAAATGTACTAATGTCATGTAATTGTACACTTTAAAATGGTTAAAGTGGTAAATTTTCTGTTGTGTGTATTTTACCACAGTGAAAAAAAAAGTTTGTATAAACATGGCCAGATCGGTGGACCATTTGCAAACATGATCACTTCTCCCACTGTTCTTTGTCTAAAATGATTTTTTATAGCCACTTCGGTGGTAAATTCAACAATCAGTAGCCAGTCATAAGTGTAGCTGCAGCCTGAGTATTGACGTGGCTTGATTTTACCTTTTACTCCTGCCCAGATACTTTTCCCATTAATCCAGGAAGATAGCATGGCATAGTCAAAAAAACAGGGGCTTTGGAGTTATGTGGACTTGCATCTGAATCCCAGCTTGCTATTTACTTACTGTGTGTGTGAGGAAGTTTACTTAACCTACCTCTGAGCTTTGGTTTTTCTCACCTATAAAATGGGAATTGTAATACCTCATAGGGAGTTGGTGAAGATTAGAATTATTACCTATAAAGAGTCTGGTATGTAGAAGGTAACCAGTAAGTGGTGACCATCCTTCCCCCTTCTCCTCCCTGACCAAAGGCCCCTCCCCTTTTCCTCCTCCTTCTTCCTCCTCCTCTTTATTCCCATCATAATCATTATTAATACACAAAGAAGAAATGCTGGGGCTAGGAGAAGAGAACAGAATGTTTGGTAAATCGTAAAGCTGATAGTATTAGCAACACTAGCAATTGTTCTGATGGATGCAGACAATACTGTGAGGTCTCCAAATCTTTTTACTCAAGATCTCATTTATCCTTCACTGTTATTCTAATGATAGCCAGTATGGGCTTATTATCCCCATTTGACAGATGGGGAACTTGAGGCTCAGGGAGATCACACAAGAAATGGCAGAGCCAGAACTGAAAGAGCAAGTACTTCTGCGTTTATTGCATGCTGTAGCCAAAGCTCTAGTCAGAGCTGCTAAAACGCTTCATAGCCACTTTCATTTAAAAAGTTAAGAGTTGTGGCTGGGTGCAGTGGCTCACGCCTGTAATCCTGGAACTTTGGGAGGCTGAGGTGGGCAGATCAGTTGAGGTCAGGAGTTCGAGGCCAGCCCGTCTAACATGGCAAAACCCTGTCTCTACTAATACAAAAAAAAGAAAAAATTAGCTGGGTGTGGTGGCACACACCTGTAATCCCAGCTACTCAGGAGGCTGAGGCATGAGAATCGCTTGAACCCAGGAGGCAGAGGTTGCAGTGAGCCAAGATCATGCCACTGCACTCCACCCTGGGTGACAGAGTGAAATTGTATCTCTAAATAAATAAATAAAGTTAGAATTTTGTCATGCCAGGTGTCTACCTCCTTGGGGGCACCAAGAGATTCTGAGTGTCCAAACTGTCCTTAATTCATTTAAGCAGTGGCATAATATGAGTAAAGAACATTAGTGCTGCTATCAGGAGACCTGGGTTCTAGTTCTAGTTTGGCCATTTATCCAGCACTGTCTGGAAGATTCCAAGAAGACAACTTAAGTCATGATAATGTCATTTCCCTCTCCTCCCCTCTGCTTCCCTCCCCCTTTCCTTCTCTCCCTTTCCTCTTCCCTCCCCTCCCTTTCTCCTCCCCTTCCCCTCCCCTTCCCCCTCCCCTTCTCCTCCCCTTCCCTCCCTCTCCCCCTCTCCTCCTCCTCCCTCTCCCCCTCCCCTTCCCTTCTTTTTCCTCCTTCCTTTCTCCAATGAACAGATATTCTCTTAGATGCAAGGAATAAATATAACAACAAATAAACGATTTTTTCCCCTGCCTTTGTGGAGCTCATATTCTAGTAGAAGAGAATAATTAAAAACAAATACATACATGAAATAATTACAGGTGTTATTAAATGTTAGAAAGGAGCTAAGGTGGAGCCAAAATGAGGCTTAATAGAGACCTAACTTAGGGCCCTCAGTGAAAGAGAAGAGCTGTTTAACCTGAGTTCTGAAGACTGGGAAAGAGCCAGCCAAAGCAAAAGGAGTCGGGGTAGGGAAAGGGCAGCATTTCAGGCAGGAAACATCATGGGCAGAAGAGCTGGTGCTGGAGAGAATTCAGAAGGTTTTAAGAATGGAAGGAAAATAGTTGTTACTGAAGCTTAGTAGGTGGGGAGTGTTCTTAGCTGAGGTGTGAGAGAGACATAGCCCAAACCATTCAGCACCTATAGGCCCAGGAAGTAGTTTGACTTTTAAGTGCAACAGGAATCCTTTGAAATATTTTCTAAGCAAAGGGAGCTCCATAATCTGATTTGTGTTTTAAGGATACGAATGGAGCTCCTGTGTGGAGCATGGGAACAGAGAGGAAAGCCAGGAGCCCAGTTAAGAGGCTATAACAATGATTCAAGCAAGAGTTGAGTGGCTTTGAATAGGAATGATGACAATATATATGGTAAGATGTGGACAGGTGGATGGTATATTTTGAGGTAGACACTAAAGGACTTGCTGATGGGTTGACTGTAGGGAGGAACGGGCATGGATAAATCAATGATGACCACCACAAGTTTGGGCAAGGCCCTTGGTAGTTGAAGAAGGCTGGGTTTGGGGTATGGGAATAACTGGTTCCGTTTTGGACATGTTAGGTCCTAAAGAAAAAGCAGAGTGACAATGTGGAACAGTGAAATCAATAGTGGGACATGGATGTGAAGACCTTGTATAAAGTTCTGGAGCCACCATTAATTTAGTGAGTGGTCATAAGTGCTTTTCTCTCTCTGGGTTCTAGTTTCCTCATTTATACAATGAATGGGTTGGATTTGATGCTATCTTGCACTTGTCCTAGCTTTGACATTTCATGATTCTAATAACAAGCTCACTTGTCATTCATGAGTCTATCTAAATCTGTGTACATCTGTTTATAATTGAAGTCTCTCCCATGTCTTTTAAGCCACTGACTTTTTACTACACAAGTGCAGCTTTCTTACATATGTGCTTAGGAATCTTTAGAGGTATTCAGATGAGGGCGTTTCATTGACTCCTCCAGAATTGGGTACCAGAGTACAAACCAGAACTTTGGTTCTAGTGCTGCCACCCATTTGTTACTTCTGGATTTCTGGGCAGCATCTCTACTGCTTGTTTAGATCTTAAATCAATGGTTCCCAAACTTAGCTGTACGTTGAAATCGCCTGAGGATCTTTAAAAAGTGGCCATGCCTGACTCCATTCCCCAGCCATTCTGATTTAATTAGGATGTAGCCTGAGTATTGAGAGAGCTAAAAGTTCCCCAGGTGATTGTAGCATGCAGCAGAGTTTGAGAACCACTGTGTTAGCGGCTAATTAAGGTGCTAGCTGATAATTAAGGTGTGCACGGATAAATGTCCAGCTAACAGAAAGAACTTAAGCAATCACTCTCCTCTCAGGATTTTAGAAGTTCCTTAAAGCCCTAAGGACTTAAAGGACAGGAATATTGGAGTGGTAGGGTGTATTAGTCCATTCTCCAGCTGCTATGAATAACCGAGACTAGGTAATTTATAAAGGAAAGAGGTTTAATTAACTCACAGTTCCACATGGCTGGGGAGGCCTCAGGAAACTTAAAATCATGGCAGAAGGGGAAGCAAATACATCCTTCTTCACATGGTGGCAGGAGAGAGAAATGTAGAGCAAAGTGGGGAAAACCCCCTTATAAAACCATCAGATCTCATGAGAACTCACTCACCATCATGGGAACAGCATGGGGGAACCACGCCCATGATCTAATCACCTCCCAGGAGGTCCCTTCTCCAACACATGGGGATTAAAATTCAAGATGAGATTTTTGGGTGGGGTCACAGTTAAACCATATCATAAGGCAAGAAAGCTATTACTGTAGGAAAAGGGACAGTTACAGGTCTTGTCTGGTGACAGTGTGCCACAGATCTACTTTTCTGCCATTTCCTCTCCCATCTCCCTTTAATAGATTTTAGACTTTCATATTATATATTTTGAATCAGAATCTTGCTATATTAGTTAACAAATACTACAAACATACTCTTTTTTTTTTTTGAGGCAGAGGCTTGCTGTGTTGCCCAGGTGGGAGTGCAGTGGTGCAATCTTGGCTCACTGCAACCTCCACCTCCCAGGCTCAAGTGATTCTCATTCCTCAGCCTCCCAAGTAGCTGAGACTACAGGTGTGCACCACCACACCCAGCTAATTTTTTTTGTATTTTTAGTAGAGATGGGGTTTCGCCATGTTGGCCAGGCTGGTCTCGAGCTCCTGGCCTCAACTTAATCTGCCTGCCTCAGCCCCTCAAAGTGCTGGGGTTACAGGTGTACCCAGCCTTAGAAACATATTCTATCACTCCCATGTCTGTGACCATAGCAGAAATTAGCAATCAATCATAGAAGTTGTTCCTCCTGGGCCTGGATGTGGCTTCACAAGTTCTCACAGCCACTGTACCAGTGGGTCAGACTCTAAACCGAGGAATACACATGTACACACGCAGATACATGGGTGTGTGTGTTTGTGTGTGTGTGTGTTTGTTTTAATATTATAAGGCCCTATATTCCTGATGGTGACTTTGAAAAAAATCACTTGTGCTCTGTGGTCTTAAGTTTTTTTTTTTTTTTATCTGAAAGAGGAAATTTGGATTCTTTAGTCTACTAGTTGGAAAAGCACAAGAGGCCTGTCACTGCAGTGGTGTTTTCTGGGGCTCAAGTTAACAAGAGACAAATCACAGATTCAATCAAAAGCTGCATGTGGAAGGCTCAATACCATTTTTTGAGAAAAGGAAACCTTGGGGTTATTCATCTTCACCTCATAGGAATCAAGCAGAAATAGAAATTACCTTTCAGGAGAAGGAATATATAACTTACAGCTTTTTGAGATCGGTTTTACATTTATTTTTTCTTATTCAATCTAGTTCCTTTATGGAACATAAATTAACCTTAAAGAGTAGCACTGGAGAAGAGTGAAAGATTATTGCATTTTCTCTCTCTCTACAATTTAAAGTTTAAAAATCATAGTTATCTTCTTTTTATTTATCAAAGGCTATGAACTTCCAGAGCATTGGTGAAAGCAACCAAAGAGGGATGAACAGTGTTTCATAAAGGATGAGGGCTTAAATCTCCTCACTCCTCTCTGAAATTCCTTCTCTGCCTACAGGTTCTCCTCTTTGGAAGGCGTATTGCTGCCTGAGAAAGACCCAGGCAAAAATTTGCATCCCAGCCCTCAGGATTCCAGGTCTTTCTTTATCAGAGGCTGGAAAATATTTCGGCTCCCCTACCCTATCAGCACAGAATACAGTGAATAGGGTCAGACTTTGGAGCCAAATGTGGGTTCCCATCCCACTTACTTCATGCTTGTTGTGTAGAGTTGGACAGCTCAGCCTCACTGAGCCTTGGTTTCTGCTAATAAAGAAGCTAGTAAAGCCTGTTTCTCAGAAGTTTGAAAGTCAAGGGCCAAACAGAGGGCATGGCCTGGGGTAGATGCTCTCCTTAGAAAAACTATCCAAGAAAACCTGCTCATAGCATAACAGTAATGACCTGTTTCAAGCTTAACATGACAGATACTTTTCCTTTCCTGGTAACTAGAGGACAAAACTCTCAGTGGCCATGCCTTCTTGGTGGAAGGTAAATTTCCTCAGCTGTCATCAGGCTACATAGGGACTCCCTTTTGTCAACCTCTAGAGATCCGCCCTTCTCTCTATGTGTCTCTGGAGGGGTTGCCAGTCATAGGACCCTTCACTCCTTTACCACAGGAGAGGACAGGTGGCCCAAGCCAGACCAGCCATGTTCTCCTTCCATGCTCTCCTCTAAAGCTTGATGCATGATGGGAACACTCTTGCTGTAGTCAGGTTGAAAAGCAAGAAGCTAGAACAGGGTTATCATAAGGCTGTTTGAGAAACGACAGTTCATGAATTCCTTCCATGGAGAACTCCAGACTCTCCTTTCCTGACTTCACAAGACCATGACATTCATAAAACTCACTCATCCTCCAGTTCCAAACACTACCCTGTGTCATCCCATTGAGCTCTTCTTTTTCATGAGAGAATTAGGAGTAGTGTCTGTTGCCGGCAAAGAACCTGACTAGTATATGATGGAAGTTTCCCAACATGGATGAGGGTCTTCCCTTTTAACATAATATGACTACATTTACTAATTAATTCCTGAAAAGCAAAGGCTATATACTTTTGCTTTTATACAAGTATTGAATCTACTAGTGTAGACATGGTATCTTGGAGCCAAGAGGGGCCCCAGAGGATATCCAATCTAAAGTCTTCATTAATAACTAAAACACCTGAGGGCAGAGATTGAGTGTGACTTGGTCTTTGTCCCACAGTCATTTGGTGGCAGACCTGGGTTTCAAATTTAGGTCCCCTGACACTGAGCCTTGTACTGTTTTACCTCTTGTCATCCTTATGTTTGCGGACTTAATGCTTTGAGCTCAGCACCCACAAGACCACAGTAATAGCTTGTATCCTCCTGAAAGCTAACAAGATTTCTTTCTCCTGCATATAATCCACACCTGTGCCCTAGACCAGGTTTCTGGTCTGTTTCAGGCTGCTGGTCGGAAGAGGGGATGGGGGCTAGTGTGAGAGAGTGACATTGAATTTATACAGCACAGACCAGTATACAAGCAACAGTTCCGAAGCTCCACTGAAGCATGGCCTTTGCACAAGAGAGTCACGTACTTTGAATTTCTTCTTTACCAGGGATATTCTGAGCCTAATCAATACTTTATCTTCTCTATCCAGAAAGCCTTTCTACTTTCAAAAGTAGAAGGCTTCTACTTTTGAAATAGCAAAAAGTGGGAGAGAAATTCACTCAACACTAAAAGAAATAGAGAAAACAATTTGCTTTTCCCTTTACAGATTTCAGAGAATCTTGAAACAAAACAAAAACAATAGACAAAAAAAAGCATAAGAGCAATCACTGGGCCTTTTTTTGTAAGCAGCAGGAAAGAGGAAGGAGAATAGCTTGAGTGGGCCTTGTTTTAATAAAGTGAGATGGGGCTTTTAGTGTGACATGTTTAACCAAGGCAAAAGAACAAAAACACTGGCTAAAAGCTATTGAGCACTTACTGTGAGGCAGGCACTGGCTTCAGCGTTATTTGTGCTCCACAGCCATTTTGGGAGGAAGTATTCCCACTTTAGAGATGGGGAAACTGAGGGTCAGAAAACTGAGTTCATTTGTCCAAGGTCATACAGCTAGTAAGTAGTGGAGCCACGCTTGAAACTAGGGTGATTTAAACTCCAGTCCCTTATCCAGTATGCTTTACCACATCCTAACCACAAAAGGAATGTGTCCATAACATGTTTTTGAAATCTGCAACAAGCCAGAAAATTCCTTCTTTTTGCATAAATAAATTAGGATAGAGATCCGACTTTGCAAATTTAATCATTCCTTTTTCTTTCTCACCTGAACCAACCTTTACCAAGTGCTTGGAAAAGGCCACTTAAATACATAGCCCAAGAAAAATGTATCTTTATGATTAATATTTGTTAAAATGAGGAGTGACATGGTAATAAAATGGAAAGGTTTGGGGGCCTTTGGGAAAATCCATCTGACTGCAGGCTGTGGTTTCAGTAATGATGCTGCTACTTTCCGGTCATGAAGGTAATGTTTTTTGATGCAGGTGGAATTATTAACAAGGTGAATATATCTGCCTGGAGGGTGGAGGGCTAGAAAGAAACTGCCTGTAGGAAAATGGCTCAGGGTGGGAGGCCACATGTCTTTCCTTCTTCATTTTCAGAAGGTATGAAAATTTCACATGCTGGGAGTGGTTTGTTCTCTCTCCTTTCTCCTGCTCTCATGGTAACTCATTCAATGGCATGTGTGTATTTGTGCCTGGAAAGGTAGGAGGACAGGAAGAATACCAGAAGAGAGGCAAGATGAAATCGAGGAATGTATATACTTAAACCATTTTCTCCAATGTCCAGTAGTTTAGGTCAGGTTATTCTTCCTATTACTCACCTGTAGGGCTGACTTGCCTGGCAAGTGGAGTAATAGCAGCTAGGGGATACTGGACAGCAGTGAAAAGGGGTTAGGGTTTATGTGATGATGTAAGGCCAGAGGACCCAGGAGTATACAAACCCTGCTTTCACCCAGTTATTTCTCTTTTGATAAGCTTCCTAAAAAAAAAGTAAAAATAAATACCATTTGACCCAGCCATCCCATTATTGGGTATATACCCAAAGGATTATAAATCATGCTGCTATAAAGACACATGCACATGTATGTTTATTGTGGCACTATTCACAATAGCAAAGACTTGGAACCAACCCAAATATCCATCAATGATAGACTGGATTAAGAAAATGTGGCACATATACACCATGGAATACTATTCAGCCATAAAAAAGGATGAGTTCATGTCCTTTGTAGGGACATGGATGAAACTGGAAACCATCATTCTGAGCAAACTATCTCAAGGACAGAAAACCAAACACCACATGTTCTCACTCATAGGTGGGAATTGAACAGTGAGAACACTTGGACACAGGGTGGGGAACATCACACACCAGGGCCTGTTGTGGGGTGGAGGAAGGGGAGAGGGATAGCATTAGGAGATATGCCTAATGTAAATAATGAGTTAACGGGTGCAGCACACCAACATGGCACATGTATACATGTGTAACAAATCTGCATTTTGTGCACATGTACTCTAGAACTTAAAATATAAAAAAAAAGTAAAAATTACACTATTAGCTGGTTTTGAACTTAAACTCCAAAGTAAGAATGAACTGGGCCAGGTGTTTGTGTCCTCTTGTTGAGGCCAGAGGCAGCCCGGAGGAAAGTGAAAGAAGTCCAAATGACCTACTTTCCCTCCAAACTTAGGTGCCTGCCCATTCAACACTATGAAAACTTCCACCTGCTGATAAAGAAAGAAGCAGACATCAATGGAAAGACAGCATCCTGCTCCCACTGTCTCTTCAAGCTCTTCCAGGCTGGATAAAGCTCAGGCCTGACTACTCTGCCAGAAAAAAAGAAGACATCCAGAGATGTGGACATGGCTGGAGAGAGATCCTCCAGGAAGTGGTATCAAGTCTGTGTGTCTCTTTGAGAGCACCACCTCCAGAAAGAGCAGCTCAATCAGTTTTCTGGACTCTGACCCACCAAATAATCATGACTTTCTCTGTGTGTTTGTGTGTGGCAGGGTAAGTGGGTGGGGCAGATTTAATGCCTTCCATCCTCGATGGGGAGACAGGAGCTGCAGAGGCACCCAGAAGTTACTGACACTCCCCGTTGTCTCCTCCCCAATCAATGCTTCTTCATCATCTTCTGCCCCAGTTTTGTCTTTCTGGTGGAATGTGGTGGTCTCTCCTTTTACTCTATTCTGAATTTGCTGTCAGAATGGTTTTCCTGAAGCACAACTTTGATTACCTCACTAAATGCTCAAAAATACTCCATGGCTCTCACTGGAGCAGTGGCAGGCAGTCTGGCCCTCCTGTTTTTGTAAATAAAACTTTATAGGAATACAGCCACACTCATTCATGTACATATTAGCAATGGTGCTCTCATGCTACAAAGTCAGAGTGGAGTAGTTGCAACAGGGAATACATGACCTGCAAAGCCTAAAATATTTACTATCTAGTCCTTAATATTAAAAAATTTGCCAAATCCTGGTTTAGAGAAATATGTCCAAACATCTGTTCCTGGCATTTGAGGTACTTGTCAGTCTGGGCCCAATAAATCCTTCTTGTCTTGTCTGCTCCTGCTCCCCTTCAAGTGCCTCATGTCCCAACCAAAAGAGAATCCCAACTTCATACCTTTTTGGTAGTTTTTGTACTTTTTTTATTGAATTCTAACACACATATAGAAAAATACACATATTTTAAGTGTATAGCTTGATGAATTTTCACAATGTATGTATCCTAATAACACCCAAATTAAGAAACAATATTTATTACCCGTACCCTAGAAGCCCTCCTCATGCTCATTTCTATCCTGATTTCTAACACTGTAGATTAGCTGTAGCTCTTTTTGAGTTTAATATAAATACCAAAGTAAGTATTTCTTTTGTTTGGCTTCTTTTGTTCAACAATAGGTTTGTGAAATTCATCCACATCATCACATGTAGTTGTTGTGTATTCATTCCCAGTGCTGTATTCCATTTTGTGTTTCATTATATCACAGTTTATTAATTCTATAGTTGATAGGCATTTGGATAGTTTCTAATTTGGGGCTATTATAAACAATGCTGCCATAAACACCTTTTTACGTGTCTTGATTAGCATATGTATGCATTTCTATTGGGTTATTACCTAAGTATGTCATTGTTGAGTCATAGGGTAAATACTACCAAAATGCTTTTCAATATATTTATACTAATATATACTCCTATCAGGAATGCTTGAGAATTCCAGTTGCTATTCAAAATCCTGGCCAACATTTGGGTTCTGGTTGGTGGTGCTTTTTTCTCTTTTAGCAATTCTGGTAGATATATTACAGAATCGTGTTGTGGTTTAAGTCTGCATTTCCTTAAACTCTAAGAGGTAGAGCACCTTTTCATAAATATTGGCCATTTGGATATCTTCTTGTAATGTGCTTTTTTAAGTCTTTGCCTTCTTCCCTTTCCGATTGTCGTTTCTTATTTATTTGTATAAAACTTTAATATATTTTGGCTCTGAGTCTTTTCTCAGATAGGCATATTATACATATTGTCTCTTATTCTATGGGTTGCCTTTTCACTGAAGAGTTTGGTAAACAAAAGTTTCTAAACAATCCAATTTATTTTTTTCTTTTTTTTTTTTTTTTTTTTTTTTTTTGAGACGGAGTCTCGCTCTGTCGCCCAGGCTGGAGTGCAGTGGCGGGATCTCTGCTCACTGCAAGCTCCGCCTCCCGGGTTCACGCCATTCTCCTGCCTCAGCCTCCCGAGTAGCTGGGACTACAGGCGCCCGCCACTACGCCCGGCTAATTTTTTGTATTTTTAGTAGAGACGGGGTTTCACCGTGTTAGCCAGGATGGTCTCGATCTCCTGACCTCGTGATCCGCCCGCCTCGGCCTCCCAAAGTGCTGGGATTACAGGCGTGAGCCACCGCGCCCGGCCAATTTATTTTTTTCTTTATGATTAGCACTTTTGATCCTGTTTAAGAAATTTTTGTCATTTTCAAAATTATGAAGATATTCTCAAATTTTCCTATGAACTTTTTTTCCTACCTTTAGATTTTAAATCTGGAAATTATTTTGTATATAAATATATACATATACTATAAGTAGGAGGTCAAGTTTTTTCCCATATGGATATTTAATTCGTATACCTTCTTAAATTTTAATTTTTTTTTAGATTTAAGAGGTATATGTGCAGATATGTTATGTGGTTATCTTATATAATATTGGAGTTTGGGTGTCTATTGAACCCTTCACCTAAATAATGAACATAATGTTACCAGGGGTGAATCTGCATGGGTCTGCATAGATCTTGATCCTTGCCTCCTCAGAGAAAGAATTCAGCTGAGGGGTAGAAGTAGGTTTAAGGCAGAGGGAGAGGCCAAGGCAAGTTCGAGAACAGGAATGAGAGTTTATTAAACAGTTTTAGAGCAGGAACAAAAGGAAGCAAAGTGCACCTGGAAGAGGGCCAAGTGGGTGGCTTGAGAGATTCAAGTGCCCCATCCAGACCTTGACTTGGGGTTTTATACATTGGCATGGTTCTGGAGTTTGTGTTTCTTCTCTCTTGAGACTTCCCTTGGGGTGGGCTGTCCATATCAGCAGTGGCCTGCCAGAACTTGGGAGGGGCCGCATGTACAGTGTATTTACTGAAGTTGTGCACATGCTCACTTGAGGTGATTTTCCCTTACCAGTCAGGCATTCCCAGAGGTAGGTCATATACCAGTTAAACTCTACCATTTTGCCTCTTAGTGTGCATGCTTGAGCCCACTCACCCAACTCTTGAAACCTTATTGGGAAGCTGCTGATCACTAGCTTCAGGTATTTTCTATCTATTGGAAGACTGTCTTTCCCTGGGGCTGGCTACAACTGATGATCATTTTAGAGAGACAGTTGAATAACTGCCTGACCATCACCTGATGGTCACCTGACATTCCTCGGTGGAGGCCATCTCCTGCCCTGCTCCTGTCTGCCTAGCTACCTACTGTAACAATAGTACCCAATTACCCAATAGGTAGTTTTTGAGCCCTTGTTCTTCCTCCATCCCCCACTTCTGGAGTCCCCAGTGTCTATTATTTCCATATTTATGTCCATGTGTACTCATTGCTTAGCTCCCACTTATTAGTGAGAGTATGTGGTATTTGATTTTCTCTTTCTATGTCAATTCATTTAGGGTAATGGCCTCCAGCTGCATTCATGTTGCTGCAAGAGACATGGTTTCCTTCTTTTTTATGGCTATGTCATATTCCATGGTGTGTATCTACCATATTTTCTTTATCCAGTCCACCACTGATGAGCCCTAGATTGATTCCATAATTTTGCTATTGTCAATAGTGCTGTGATAAACATGCAAGGGCAGGTATATTTTTGATAAAACAATTTATTTTTCTTTAGGTAGATACCCAGTAGTGGGATTCCTGGGTTAAATAATAGATTTATTTGTAGCTCTTTCAGAAATCTCTGTACCATTTTCCATAGGGGTTAAACTAATTTACATTCTCACCAAGAGTATATAAGCATTCCCTTTTCTCTGCATCCTTGCCAATATGTTATTTTTTTACTGTTTCATAATAGCCACTTTGGCTGGTATGAGATGATATCTCACTGTGGTTTTAATTTGCATTTCTCTGATGATTAGTGATCATAAGCATTTTTAATATGTTTCTTGGCCACTTGTATGTCTTCTTTTGGGAAGTGTCTGTTTCATGTCTTTTTCCCACATTTTAATGGGGCTGTTTGTTTTTTTTCTTGTTGATTTATGTGCCGTATAGTTTCTGGATATTAGTCCTCCATCAGATGCATAGTTTGTAAATATTTTCTCCCCATTCTGTAGGTTTTCTGTTCATTCTGTTGATTGTTTCTTTTGCTGTGCAGAAGCTCTATAGTTTAATTAAATCCCGTTTGTTGATTTTTGTTTTGTCACATTTGTTTTGAGGTCTTAGTCATAAATTCTTGGCCAGAATCAATGTCCAGAAGAGATTTTCCTAGGTTTTCTTATAGAATTTTAATAGTTTGAGATATTACATTTAAGTCTTTAATCTATCTTGAGTAAATATTTATATATGGTGATAGATAAGGGTCCAGTTTCACTCATTCTTCTTCATATGGCTAGCCAGTTTTCCCAGCAAAGTTTATTGAATAGCATGTCCTTTCTCCATTGATTATTTTTGTCTACTTTGTCAGAGATCAGTAGATGTGTGGTTTTATTTCTGGGTTCTCTATTCTGTTCCCTTGATCTATGCGTCTATTTCTGTATGAGTACCATGGTTTTTCAGTTACTGTAGTCTTGTAGCATAGTTTGAAGTTGGGTAATCTGATGCCTGTGTATTTTTTTTTTTTTTTTGCTTAGTATTGCTGTGGCTATTTGGGCTCTTTGATTCCATGTAAATTTTAGAATTTTTTTTCTAGTTCTGTAAAAACTGATGTTAGTAATTTGCTAGGAATTACATTCAATCTGTAGATACTTTGGGAAGTGTGGTCATTTTAGATATCAGTTCTTAAAATCCATGAGGATGGAATTCTTCTTCATTTGTTGGTGTCATCTATTATTTCTTTCATTAGTGTGTTGTAGTTCTCATTGTAGTTATCATTCACCTCCTTGGTTAAATGTATTCTTAGGTATTTTATTTTTTTGTGGCCATGATAAATGAGATTGTGTTCTTGATTTGGATCTCAGCTTGAATGTTATTGGTGTATAGAAATGCGACTGATTTTTATACATGGATTTTGTATCTTGAAACTTTACTGAAGTCACTTATCAGTCCTAGGAGGAATCTTTAGGGTTTTCTAGGTATAGAATCATGTCATCAGTGAACAAAGATCATTTGACTTTCTCTTTTCCTATTTAGATCCCTTTTATTTCTTTTTCTTGCTTGATTTCTCTGGCTAGTATTTCCTATGTTGAATAGAAGTAGCAAGAGTGGACATCTTTGTCTTCTTTTAGTCTTTATGGGAAATGTTTCTAACTTTTTTTCCATTCAGTGTCATGTTGGCTGTTGGTTTGTCATATATGGCTCTTATTATTTTGAGGTATGTTCCTTCCGTGCCTAGTTTGTTGAGAGTTTTTATCATAAAGGGATGTTGAATTTTATTAAATGCTTTTTCTGTGTCCATGGAAACAATCGTATGGTTTTTGTTTTAATTTTGTTTATGGGATAAATTGCATTTATTGATTTGCTTATGTTGAACCATCCTTGCATCCCAGGAATTAAGCCTACTTGATCATGATGAATTGTTATCTTTTTGATGTGGTGCTAGATTTAGTTTGCTTGTATTATGTTGAGGATTTTTGTGTCTATGTTCATCAGGGATATCAGCTTGTAGTCTCTTTTTTTTTACTGTGTCCTTACCAGATTTTGGTATCAGGATGATACTGGACTGATGTGTCACCATTGTTATTTATCAGTTTGCTATTTTCTTGCATAAATACTGGGCAAGGAAATTGCTCTCTGTATTAAAAGAGTATGTCATTTACAATAGCATCAAAACTTCCACATTCAGAGGAATAAACGTAAAAAAAGACATGTAACCCACTTCATGAAAAACTATAAAATATCATTGGGAAAAACAAAAGATAAAAAAATTATAGTATATATATATGTATATATGTAGTACATATGTGTATGTGCATATGTGTATGCACATATATACATAATATATAGTGTGTGTATAGAAATACATATGTCTATATTTTATATATATATATAAAATTTGTCATAGCTTTATTATAGATTCTAAATATAGTAGCCTATGTTGTTGTTCTTTACTTTCACTGGCCTTGGCACTTTAAATTCCCATATACATTTTAGGATTAGGTTGTCAGTTTGTCTTAAAAAATCTGATGTGCTTTCAAAAAGGATTACACAGAATTTGCAGATTGGCCTGGGAAGAATTGACATATTTATTATATGCCAATATGTCTAATATGTGAACATATACCTTCATTTATTTAGCTTATCTTCCATTTTTGTGAGTGATGTTTGTAGTTTTCTGTATCTATTGTCACATTTATTCCTAGGAATTTAGTGTTTTTTAATGCTGTTATTAATGCTACACTCCTTGAAACTTAATTTTTCTAATTTATAGTGTTACTAATATATGGAAATACAACTAATTTTTATAGATTGGCTTTATTTCTAATGACCATGTTTAGTTTACTTATTAATTCAAATAGTTTATCTGTCAATTCTTTTGTATTTTATAAGTATACAGTCATGTTGTCCATTTAAATGACAGTTTTGCTTCTTTATCTTTCTATCCTTATGTTTTTTATTTATTTCCTTGCTTTATTACACTAGCTAGGACAAATACAATGTTATATAAAAGTAGTGATAGTGTATATCCAGTTTCTCTCCTGCTTGAGGTATGTGTCCCTCAACCCATCATGACTTATTGATATGGTTTCCAGAAACCATTTGAGTGAAAGAAACCATTGATGGGCTGGTAACTGTTTACAAGGGTCTCTTATGGCTGGGAAGAATAGTTTGTTGCTCCTTCTTTCTTTACTCTGTTTTGAAACTATCCTTCAACTATATACGGAGGATCAAAATCTACTTATTAGGTTTTCTGGGGTAAGTGAGTATAAACCTCTTTCCTTGGTGTATATGCCATAGATATGACCTTAATTAGTATATAGTGAACATGTATTATCTATTAAACATTTATTGACTTTGTTTGCATTAGTTCATTTGATGATACCAATAATCCTATAAGGTAGCCATAATTATTTCTTTTGTATAGACAAGTATCTTTGGAATTAGAAATTATAAACTTGCCCCAAATCACTCAGTTGGAAGTGATAGTTTTGAACCTAGGCGTTTGACTCTAGAGCCCCTACTCATTGTACAGTACTGATCCACATCAAGTTGAAATTTGCCTTTTTATAATTCCTTTGTGGCTGCACAGAAAAAGCATGCAGTTCCTTTTCCAAGAAAGCCCTTTATTTTTGTGAAGTTAGCTTTTATCAATCTTCTAAATGTCCTCCAGATTAAATATTCCTAGTTTCTGTTATTCCTTGAATGACAAGGCTTAAAAATCTCTTTTGCCTTTCCAGTTACCAATTTCCTTCTCAAAATACCTCTCCAAGCATGGTGCTCAGAGTGGAAGTGGGGCTGGTGATGTTGTATGGTTTGTTGAAATGATTTAAACTATGAAGTAGAACATTGCCCTTCTCTATTGTGATCCTTATACCCTTTATATTGCATCCTGAGATTGAAGCAACTTGGTATAGATTTTAGAGGTCAGAGATTTTATTCTGATCTTAGCAAAGCCATTTGCAAGTTGTATGACCTTAGGCAAGTCACTAGATTTCCCCAAGCCTCTTTATAGTTTTCTTATCTATAAAATATGGGATAACTCCTACCCTAGTTAACCCCAGCAAATGATGACAGACTCATTTGAGATAATGGAGATGAAAATGTCATTTGCAAACTGTGAAGAGCTCTATCAGTGTTATTTTTAGCAGATGCATCACGGTGTTGACACATACTGAGTGAGTATTTGTACAGAGTGGAGCTGAATTCAGTCATAAACAAAGTGAACAAAAGGGAATGTAGTGACGTCTAGCCAACATAAGGAAATGTTAAACGGGCTGTATAGGGGAGAAAAGGGGGAGAGTGGAATTAGCCTCAGGAAAGAAGGACGTATACAGACCTGAGTGTTCAGCTGAGATTTTGGAGACACGGCCATGGTCCACAAGGTCAGTGAGGACCGGGAAATCATAATCAGATCTGGTGACTTGAGATGCTGAATTTTGTTTTTCCTTCCAGTGAAATGGTGAGGCAGAGCCATTCCTGCCCCCTCTCCCCAACCCATCCCACAAGGCTAATTATTATAAAAATTCTCTGTCATTTCTTTGCAACGGTCCACAGCCTAACTAATTTAAAAATGCAAATGAATGCTAAATTACAGTCAGGTTTGGAGCTTGTTTCCTGCCTATGCACCTAGAGAGGGTGAGCGTCATTGCTACAGCTGGAAATCAATCTTGAGCACCCTGGGTGATTTGATAATGGCTAGTGGCATCGCTGCTGATGTCACAAGATGCTTGGTTGATGGTGAATTTCAGTAGCATTGTGGACTATCAATCTTCGGCCTGTCTCTGCCTCTGCAGTGGCATACTGCAGCATCATGTTTTTTTTTCTCCTGAAAACCAAGGAACCCTCCCTCTGCCATCTGTCAGCCTTGTGATAGGCCAAGTGCTAAGCCTGACTCTGGTGATTGGATGTGTCTGCCTTATAACAGCCCTCCTAGCTGTGAGCTTTGGGTCTGAAAGCCTGTTTGGTGATTACGATGATGATGAGAAATGGAGTCCTGTATGTCTAATAATCCTTAGATTAGTGAGTCTCACAGTGACCTCCTAGGATCTGGGGTGTTTTTAAAATGCAGACTCCTGGGCTCCATTTTAAATATACTGCAATGAAATCTCTAGAGATGGATCTCGGAAACGAATTTTTAAAAACAGGGATCCCAAGTGATTCTTATGCATATTAAAGTTTGGGAAATACTGTCTTACATTGTGAAATGATGAATTATTGGGGCTGAAAGGAGCCCTAGAGAATTTCTTGTCCAGTGGTTTTCAGCCTTGGCTGCACATTAGAATTACTTGGAGAGATTTTTAATTCGCAGTGCTGGAGGTCCTACCCTCCACAAATGTCATCAGAATCTTTAGGGTTGGGACCAAGCCATCAGTGTTTTAAAGCTCTCCAGTTGATTCCAACATACAGCCAAAGCTGAAAATCGCTTCTGTAGTCCAACCCTTGCTTTTACTATGGGGGACAGTGTGGCCCACAGGGGTACCATCTCTGAGAGGGTCAGTGACCCAGATGGGATGAAAATTCAGATTTCTTGCTGCTAATTGGTACTCCTTCTACCATAGAGATTGTTTCTCTTTGCTGAACCAGTGGCAACTCCTATTCTCTCTCTGGTGTTCTATTTTATCCTGTAATACCTGATAATTTGATTTCCTTATAAGCCAGGTCCTGTTCTCTCCAGGTGGACCTCTGACTCCAGCCAGAGATCCCTGACTCAGGCTTTAGCCTAAAGCCCATCCCCAGCCATAGACTCACCCTCATGCCACCCCAAGTTCCCTGAGGCCTCTGTTAATTGGATAAGGCTTGCTGAGCAACCAGGCTTCTAGCTCTGGCATTAGTTTGGTGCATGTGACTTTTAAGTAAACAATAAAACTTCTTTCGACTCTCTTTTCCTTTCCTTATACAGAGTGCATATAATGAATTTGGAGTGCTTTGCTGAGAAAGGGACTGCCTTTCAATGCCATAGCCTAGTGCTAGGCACAGAGCAGGCATCCAGTAAATATTTAATGAAATAAATAATTAATTGAGCAATGCAAGTGTAAACATTACATAATCATTCCCACTGGCTTATCTTCTCCCAAGATGATTCACACATTAAATCTTATTTCAAGAGATTTGCTTGCAGTGAAAATTTCTGTATAGCGTATCTATTTCCAGCCCTAGTGAATGGCTTAATGATACCTAACATATATCTTTCACAACAAAATTTTGTGAACAAAATAACTTGAACTATTCCTTAGAACTTGATATAATGGATTTTCCTTTACACAAGGAATAATTATATCTTTACCCACCCAAGTCCTTTTGACACTGGAAAGAAATGTAAAAGATGGGAGAGATACGGCCAACCAATGAATGCATCCCTTTTGTTTTATCTGTGCATGAACTAAAGTTCTGGAATTTTTGAACTTGATGGGTTTTCTTTCATTTGGAAAGATCATTTGATATCAGTAAATCCTCAGCGTTGACTGAGGCTTTCATAATTTCTTACCTATCGTTCATTGTACCACTGTGCTTATTTCAGAACTTTTGGACCATGAGTTTCCAGTTTATGGTTAGGGTGAAAAGCCAGTGGCTGTGAAGAGGACATGGTCTAGATAGTCATTGACAGATGTTTGCTGATATAAGCCAAGCACTGTGCTGAATGCTGGGAATCCATTGTTGTCTTGAAAGAGACCCACTTCCTGCCCTCCTGGGACTGTGGGCTGGCAGGGGAGGCAGGCTTGAATCAAAGCAGCATACAAGTTTCTGAACAATCATAGATAGAGATGAGCATTGTGAAAGAGTGTGCCTCTGTAAGAGTATTTACTAGAGAAACCTGACTCAGGCCAGACGGTCAAGATGGCATCCCCAAGGAAATGATGACTGAGGTGATATGGGAAAGAGAAACAGAAGCTGCTTGTGTGGAGGGGGCAGGGACATGGCTTAGTCAGATGGCAAAGCATTTGCAAGGCCCTTGAGAGGAATGAACGTGGTGAGTTTTAGGAGCTGAAAGAAAGTTTTTAGCTAGGCAGGGTCACCCAATAAGCTGTGCATAAGGATGGGGAAGAGTCCATCTCTGACTGGAATCGTCTGGCCAGTATATCATAACCTGACTTGGAAGGTTAGTCTAAAGTATGTGATCTGAATTAGGGCTTAATCAGTGCTCTGGTAAGTGTCAGGATATGCCCAACATTGGGAGCAAGTTTGAGGCCAATAAATCATCTATATTTTTAACAAACATTTATTGAATTTCTACTATGTGCCAAGTAGGTTAGAGTGGGCCAGGAGAATGGAGTAAAAGTCGGTGTGCAATATGATTAGACATGTCAGCTATGAACAGACAGCTGTGGGGTTGTGTCTAGACCACACAATGTAAGAGTTTGTTCATGTCACCTAATTTTTCTGTTTCCATTTTTTCAATCATCAAATTGGGGATAATAATGGCCTTTTCAAGGGATGGTTATGAGGATCAAATGAGTTAGTGTGTAAAAAATACTTAGTGCCAGATGCATCACGGATATCTAATTAATATTGGCTCTCTGCAAACCAGCTGGAAAAAATAAGAAAAAAAAAATCAATCTTTCTAAGTCTGGGCTTTAGATACTGAGAAAACCCCCAGAGTATCTCATGGGACAGGTGAAGAGACAAAGAGAGATTTCCTGCCAGCTGCGTCATCCACCCAAGAGACTCAGCTGGCACCTTCTTTGTCCCTGTAGACAGCAGCTTGCCATTGGCTGATGGTGGCAGTAGGCCAGTCACTGAGTTTAAACAGAATTTTCTTTGCAAATTGACATAGCAATAAAATTACAAAACTGCTGTGTTTATCTTTCCAAATAAAAGACAGATTTTAAGTACATTATACCAGTGTAATTGAAAATCAGAAGCAAATGAGAGGATGTGCTGTAACTTCTATGCTAATGTGAGATCACACTCTCCTGACCCCTAGTTAGGTATGGGAGGAGGAGCAGGTGGGGAAAAAGATATGCTTGCAGTATCCCTGCATGCAGAACTGTTTAGATGAGCTGAATTCTCAGAGTGATAGCAACTCACTATTTGGGAAACTCGAAGCCCCAGATTCTCTCTAGGGATGCAAATACAGCAACGTGGATTTCAATTAAGATTCTGCCATCCCCATGATAGAGTTCTCTTAATCCTTCTTTAGAGGTGCTGCCTGGGTAATAAAACCTTCATGCTGCAGGCTGTAGGCAGGTTTGTTTAACCCGAGCTTAACTGACAAAGCTCTCTGAGACATGCTCACCTGCTTAGAATCTGTGCATCACCTCCTATTGGCTGTGTGTGGGGCATTGCGATGCCTCCATGTGGTACAGGAGGCTGGCCTAAGAGTTCTGAACTGCAAACCTTCACAGGAAATTCTTGGGCTGGCTGGCCACCTGGCTTAGGTTATTTATTTATTTATTTAGTTAGTTGTTTTTATTGCTTTAGGGGTCTGCACCTGATGGTGGCAGTGAGGGAGGTTGAGGTGAGCTTCCATCTCTTGGAATCCCACCATTCCTATTCAACTCATGTCAAATTAAATTAATACTATTTCCATGTGAATAATTGAAGATATTTCCTCAACTTTAAAAATGTGAAAGAAGGCATCTTTTAGAAAATATTTGCTGTTTAAAAAATACTAGCCATGCACAATCCAGATAAGAAGAATGTAGTTTGAGACGAGTTCCTGGGAAGATTATCACCCTAAGCCACTCCTGTATATAGTTTTCCCTACTGACACCTGCTCATCCTTCTTTGCTTCATTCAACAGCATCCTATGGCTAACTCCTAAGCACAGTGATGCAATTCTGCCTGGAGATACAGATTATCCTCACAAGAGGCACAAAACAGGTAGAAAAATGGGCATTCATGATAGGGGGCTGGTAACAGTGTGTTGCCTGCAGAGAATGGATAATAAAATTTTGCTTGAAGAATATTGGCAATTGAGTATTTGCAGAATATTGACAATTGAGTGTGCTTGTGGGGGCTTTCATTGATGAAATTGTTTAAAGAGTACTCATCTTTGGGCTTTCTGTGTGAGACTGACTGGAGTGAATTCTTAGGCCAGTGTCATCGATGGTCAGACAGAAGTTGCTGACTGAGAATGCATTTGGAGTTCCCTGTCATTTCTACTTTGACTTGAACTTCTACTCCCTGGTAGTCTCATATAATGAGGCCAGCATGACCTAGAGAATCAAGCGTGTCTATTTTTATTGGGAAACATGTAGAGGTGATATAATGGTCAAGATGAGATCTGGCTCTTCTTGCAAGATGCCTGTAGTACTGAAGGAAGAAGTTAAACCATGCGGGCATTATTGTCAGTAATATGGACTGGATGCCCTCATCCAGCACAGAAATGCAGGAAATAATATTTTATTTTTTCTTCAATGAAAAACATTGGTAACAAAACCTGAGTTGTCCTTGCTGTGAGCACTCCTGAGCTGAAAAACCTTTTCTCTTTGTGCCCCAGTTTGCCCAACTATAAATGCAGCGTTGGACTAGATGATCTCTAACACTCAAATGTAGTGGAGAGAGCTTTGGAGCCCTGAGATCTGAGATTGAGTCCCACCTTTAGCACTGATTGGGCAAGTTCCTTCTTTTCTCTGGGCCTCAGCTTGCTATTAGACTGAGGGGATTGGATAAGATGTCCTTAAGATCCCTCTCAGTCCGGAAGAGTAGATGGACCATCAATATAGCATGGAGGCAATGATCAGATACTGGCCCCTGAAACAAAGCCACATCATGTTGAGAATCTAATAGAACAAAGTTATCTTCCATCAGAGAGAATTATTCATCCTGTTCCTCAGTGGGCATTTTGTCTTCTGTCTCCTTGGACTACTTTGAACATCATCAGAGGCTCAGGCCATGCTTACTGCTCAGTGTTGCAGAGAAAATGCAGATAAATGGATAGTGTTGGGAATTCTATTTCTGCCTGTGCTGAAAGATGTTTTGAAGTTACCATATGCTGCAGGAGATGAAGTGAGTGTGTACAGAGGAGAGATGTGATAAAGGTAACTTAGTTTGATAGCAATTCAAATGAAAAATCTTTGACATAGGGCACCTGCTTCACATTAGTGCATTGGGACAATAGTTAATGGGATTGCAGCTAGATTCACTTCTATCAATAGAGGGAAGGATGGTCACAGTTCCACGTAGGAGGGAGAGAGTACTCAGCTCCAAACATGTCACTGGAGATAAGTTTCAATTTTGTTTGGAAGGAAGCATTAACATGTTGGGGCACATCCAGAGAGACAAGAAGGGAGATAGGTTAAAAACACATGGAATATAAAGAATAATTGAAGTTTGCAGGGTAAAGATGTTAAGCTGAAAGTGATGGGAGAAAACCCTGCTATGAGGAAGTGGTATGTGACTGCAGAAAGGAGAAGCGAGAAGATTTATGTCCTTCTAGATGAAACAATAGTCTGTTGTAAGGAGACAAATACTGACAGGATAAAAAGCCTTTCAGAATTTCACAACAGTGGAAGGCATTTTTGCACTAATCAAGGAGGTTGTTATAACTGGGGGTGCTCAAATAGAAATTGGGAGATCTGTCTTCAGAGATGCTGTATTGAATGGGAGGTTTGGCAAGGAAACTCTTCTCTAGCTCTGTTATTTTATGCAGGATACATCAATAGAATTAAGCCCTCAAGCTATAGTTATGGTTCCTCTACTGACTTGCTATGTGACCTTAACTGGGTCACTTAACTTTTCTGGACTTCAGTTTACTCATCTGCAAAATGGAGACAATAACATCTGTCCGACAATACCCAACAATAATGCTGTAGAAGCCTGTGAAGATCGAATAATACATGTAAAAATGCCTCGACGAATAGGACAAACTGTGTGTAAATGACACATTAGTGATGTCATAATTCCTCATTCTCCAGCCCCTGTCTTGCCTGGCTGTACATCATTGTGATTAAGAGTAGCAGCTCAAGGGTTAGACTGCTTGAGTTTGAATCTCAGCTCAGCCACTGGCTGCATATGTGATCTTTGGCAAGTTATTAAGCTTGTTGATCCTGTTTCATGGGCAAAATAATGGGGCTGATAAGAGTAATGTTGATTTTAGAGAGTCATTGTGAGGATTAGTGCCCTAATGCATGTAAAGTGATTTTCACAGTGCCTAACACAGAATATACTCTCCAAAGCTTTGTTCTTCTCACCATTATTATTATCAGCAGGCAGTACTTACATCTCTTCAGTTGATTGTGACAACGGCTGACTGAGTTGTTGAGGTGTCTTTCAGAAATCTCTTGGAGAGACTTTAGTCTGTCTCTGAATGTCCAAGGCTGCAAAGCGCAGAGAAGGCCCATCTCAGTCCCTCAGGGGAGATCTAAACGCAGCTCCCAAAGTTTGTCAATTTGGCGACCCCAAATGTTTTCTTTTATTTGGAAGCTCACAATATTCCATCATAAATGTTTTATAATTGCTTCATGAATTATTCACCTGCAACTTAATAACCTTAAATTTTATAGGATTATGGTTTTATGGGAGAAAAACATTACCAACCTGGGACCCAGCTGTGAAGAGAAAATGCTGATGTTACCAATTTATTTTCACTATGCAATAGGAGGTTTTTTCTGTAACTATGAAATATAGAATATTAATAAAAGAGCAAATAAAAAAACTAAAAGAGAAGGAAAAAATCCTTACATTGCTCTTTTTAAAAAATTTAATCTCAAAACTGCATTTGCAATATTTTTTCCTATTGCCAAGGAGCTGATTTAGCTCCATTAGAGTTGGTTTCACCTTCTTTGGTGAAGCCAAAGAAAAATTGCTTGTTTTCCTTCCTTACATACCTGGTCTTTGTCTTTCCTATACTTTTATTCATTACTGAATTATTTTTTAGACTGGAATCATTAGTGATTTTTAAATTAGTATCACCCTCTTGCCATCCTAGACTGTTAGAATGTTAGTTTTGAAATGTCGAACTATCAGTTTTGAAATTTCTAATGCTGTCTAAGAGGAGCATTGTAATACAGTGAAAAAAGCGATGGTTAGATTTGAGTCTGAGTTTAGACTATCACTTAATTGATACATGACTTTAACAATTCCATTAAGTTTTCTCAGCCTTGCTTTCCTTTATAAGAATAAGATACTACACCAATGTAAGGAACTAATCCAGCAATACAGGTGAAGGAAAGCTGGGATGTTGACAGGGCTGTGGAAGGATGAGCGGGAAGCTCGAAAGAGAAAGCTAGCTCACATCAGATATCTGGCAGAGAAGTCAACTCCTTTACTTTGTGTTATGGTTTGAATATATTTTCTAAAGTTCCTGTGTTGGAAACTTAATCCCCAATACAACAGTGTTGAGAGGTAGGGTCTAATGGGAGGTGGTTAGGTCATGGAACTCCACCCTCTTTAATGGATTAACACTGATTATAAAAGAGACTGAGGCTGTGAGTTTGATCTCTTCCTCTCTTGCCCTTCTGCCTTCAACCATGAAATGATGCAGCAAGAAGGCCCTCACCAGATGTGTGGCCTCTTGACCTTGGACTTTTCATCCTCAAGAACTGCCAGAAATATATCTCTGTTCTTTATAAATATCCCAATCTTAGATATTCTGTTATAGCAGCACAAAATGGATGAAAACACTTGGATTTGAATTTTCAATGGGAGCAAACATAAAGCAATACCATCCTGTTATCTAATGTCAGGTAAGGGTGCTTACTCATCAGCTATTAAAACTGTTCTATTGAAATCATAGGACATGCATGTACCTTTTTTTTAGAATCAAATATAGTAGAAAGATAATAGAGATAATGAAAAGTCGATTCCAGCTTTCCCATTTTACACATAAGAAAACTGAGACCAAGTGAGGAGGATAGATTTGCCCAAAGTGTTATGGTAGATTAGTGGCAGAATCTGGGACCAAAAGCCTGGTTCTTGTCTGGGCACTTGTCTAACAGAGAAAGTGCCACAAATGTGCTTCAGGTAGGGGCTCCTGGAATGGAAGACAGGGGGTCATTAAGAAAAGTGGGATGGGAGCAGATGTTGGGCAAGGTGCAAGTTGGAGGAAGAAGGCTAAGAAATATGATTCAACTATAAGCAAATAAGCCCTACAAGCAATGCTTGGGAGTCAGTGGGTGTTTTTTTGGACTGGTTAGACCTGAGCCATCCAGTTAAAACAGGACTAGGTGTCCCAGAGGCAGTACATCTTCCCCTCCCCACAATTTACACTGACCTCTAATAACATTTTACTAAAATTATCTGGGCCCTAATTAATTTTCCTGGCTGTTTTCTTTCTTATTGCTCTCCTGGCCACAAGATAAGGACAATGACGTCTTCTAATGAATGGAGTGAACAGTTGGGCTCAACTCATTTGTTCTAAATGGCTCTTTTTCCTCTGCCTAAGGAAGCTTTGGGGATTTCCCCCGCTTGCTTTTTTTTGGATGGATGATGGGAGATGACACCTGTTAGTGTCTGAGAAGACAGGCATTACCAACAACTTACCCTCTAGGGCACCCACTATCTGTAAAAAGATTATTCGTTTTGTTACTGGAAGGTCTGTCTACCTGTCAGCTAAGGGAGGAAGAGAACTGACATTTGCTATTGTGCTTATTGTGTGCTAAGTATTTTTCTGAGTGTTCCTTCTCTGGGTTCCTAGAACATCCTGTGTATTCTTCCAACATACAGTTGCCAAGATCTGCTTTCCTGAAAACACGGCAAGCAACTTTAGGGCATGCAATACATCTATCTCATAGTTGCATTCTTAGTGTCAGTGTGACAGCCAACTCATAGCAAGTTCTTAATTAATAGGTGTTCAACTGATAAATGACTCCTGGGTGGTAAATACAGGCTTTCTTATCCAGTGCTTACCATCACCCTTACTCCTATTCATATTCCCATTTTACAGATAACTAAGGCAAGGCTCAGAGGGACTTGCCTAAGGTCTCACATGTAGTATATATAGTTCTACATGACAGGAAAAAGTCCAGGGTCTTTCCATTGATTAAACATGTTGATCACTTATAGAAACAATGTTTTATCTCTGGGTACCTGCTGAATTTCAGCATAGACCCCAATGAAGTGCTACCTTTGGAAGAGATATTGTGGATATATTCTCATGGAAGAAAAGATGCTATAAGCTACAGTAACAAGTTTGCCCTGTACTTGGAGGCATTATTATGAACTAAGAGTTGGCTTCAGATATGGTAGAAGTAGACGTGACAAGATAGCATGTAAATTGGAGTCTGAGGAATTGTAATTATTAGAGGGGAAGATAATTTAGGATCTTCCCTGTATAATATTGCAACTATTTTTTTTTAGCTCTGGCAATGTATACTTGAAATTATTGACCCAAATATTTTTATTTTTAGTAGTTATGGAGCTATGTTGCTTAATGGGGGGATGGAGGCAGGCAAGAAGGGAACGGCTGAAAACCCTTGCATGTAGCAAGAATTGAAGAAAACAGGTAAAAATAGGAAAGGAGCAGGAAGAAGTAACACGCTGAGAGTTAAATCAAGGATGGACATTATTAAATGGAAGGCAGGGGATTTTAGTTTTGTGAGCATGGCCAAGTATGGGCTTTAGAAGGCCAAGACACTCCCCTGAAAAGTTTTTATAGGTATATTTCACTGAATATTTTATATGTATATATACATATATTTCATATGTATATTGTGCTAAACAGAAGGCACATACATTTCGTTTTTCAAAGTGATCATTAACTTTCCAAAAGACTAACAACTGGTTGTGGGTAAATAAAAGTAAGTCAAAATGTCCTAGGACCAGAGTTCCAGAATGGGGATGACAATACCTTTTTTTTTTTTTTTAATTTTTTTATTTTTTATTTTTAATCTTTTTTTTTTCTTTTTTTTTATTATTATTATACTTTAAGTTTTAGGGTACATGTGCACATTGTGCAGGTTAGTTACATATGTATACATGTGCCATGCTGGTGCGCTGCACCCACTAACGTGTCATCTAGCATTAGGTATATCTCCCAATGCTATCCCTCCCCCCTCCCCCGACCCCACCACAGTCCCCAGAGTGTGATATTCCCCTTCCTGTGTCCATGTGATCTCATTGTTCAATTCCCACCTATGAGTGAGAATAGGCGGTGTTTGGTTTTTTGTTCTTGCGATGGTTTACTGAGAAGGATGGTTTCCAATTTCATCCATGTCCCTACAAAGGACATGAACTCATCATTTTTTATGGCTGCATAGTATTCCATGGTGTATATGTGCCACATTTTCTTAATCCAGTCTATCATTGTTGGACATTTGGGTTGGTTCCAAGTCTTTGCTATTGTGAATAATGCCGCAATAAACATACGTGTGCATGTGTCTTTATAGCAGCATGATTTATAGTCATTTGGGTATATACCCAGTAATGGGATGGCTGGGTCAAATGGTATTTCTAGTTCTAGATCCCTGAGGAATCGCCACACTGACTTCCACAATGGTTGAACTAGTTTACAGTCCCACCAACAGTGTAAAAGTGTTCCTATTTCTCCACATCCTCTCCAGCACCTGTTGTTTCCTGACTTTTTAATGATTGCCATTCTAACTGGTGTGAGATGATATCTAATAGTGGTTTTGATTTGCATTTCTCTGATGGCCAGTGATGATGAGCATTTTTTCATGTGTTTTTTGGCTGCATAAATGTCTTCTTTTGAGAAGTGTCTGTTCATGTCCTTCACCCACTTTTTGATGGGGTTGTTTGTTTTTTTCTTGTAAATTTGTTTGAGTTCATTGTAGATTCTGGATATTAGCCCTTTGTCAGATGAGTAGGTTGCGAAAATTTTCTCCCATGTTGTAGGTTGCCTGTTCACTCTGATGGTAGTTTCTTTTGCTGTGCAGAAGCTCTTTAGTTTAATTAGATCCCATTTGTCAATTTTGGCTTTTGTTGCCATTGCTTTTGGTGTTTTGGACATGAAGTCCTTGCCCACGCCTATGTCCTGAATGGTAATGCCTAGGTTTTCTTCTAGGGTTTTTATGGTTTTAGGTCTAACGTTTAAATCTTTAATCCATCTTGAATTGATTTTTGTATAAGGTGTAAGGAAGGGATCCAGTTTCAGCTTTCTACATATGGCTAGCCAGTTTTCCCAGCACCATTTATTAAATAGGGAATCCTTTCCCCATTGCTTGTTTTTCTCAGGTTTGTCAAAGATCAGATAGTTGTAGATATGCGGCATTATTTCTGAGGGCTCTGTTCTGTTCCATTGATCTATATCTCTGTTTTGGTACCAGTACCATGCTGTTTTGGTTACTGTAGCCTTGTAGTATAGTTTGAAGTCAGGTAGTGTGATGCCTCCAGCTTTGTTCTTTTGGCTTAGGATTGACTTGGCGATGCGGGCTCTTTTTTGGTTCCATATGAACTTTAAAGTAGTTTTTTCCAATTCTGTGAAGAAAGTCATTGGTAGCTTGATGGGGATGGCATTGAATCTGTAAATTACCTTGGGCAGTATGGCCATTTTCACGATATTGATTCTTCCTACCCATGAGCATGGAATGTTCTTCCATTTGTTTGTGTCCTCTTTTATTTCCTTGAGCAGTGGTTTGTAGTTCTCCTTGAAGAGGTCCTTCACATCCCTTGTAAGTTGGATTCCTAGGTATTTTATTCTCTTTGAAGCAATTGTGAATGGGAGTTCACTCATGATTTGGCTCTCTGTTTGTCTGTTGTTGGTGTATAAGAATGCTTGTGATTTTTGTACATTGATTTTGTATCCTGAGACTTTGCTGAAGTTGCTTATCAGCTTAAGGAGATTTTGGGCTGAGACGATGGGGTTTTCTAGATAAACAATCATGTTGTCTGCAAACAGGGACAATTTGACTTCCTCTTTTCCTAATTGAATACCCTTTATTTCCTTCTCCTGCCTGATTGCCCTGGCCAGAACTTCCAACACTATGTTGAATAGGAGCGGTGAGAGAGGGCATCCCTGTCTTGTGCCAGTTTTCAAAGGGAATGCTTCCAGTTTTTGCCCATTCAGTATGATATTGGCTGTGGGTTTGTCATAGATAGCTCTTATTATTTTGAAATACGTCCCATCAATACCTAATTTAATGAGAGTTTTTAGCATGAAGCGTTGTTGAATTTTGTCAAAGGCTTTTTCTGCATCTATTGAGATAATCATGTGGTTTTTGTCTTTGGCTCTGTTTATATGCTGGATTACATTTATTGATTTGCGTATATTGAACCAGCCTTGCATCCCAGGGATGAAGCCCACTTGATCATGGTGGATAAGCTTTTTGATGTGCTGCTGGATTTGGTTTGCCAGTATTTTATTGAGGATTTTTGCGTCAATGTTCATCAAGGATATTGGTCTAAAATTCTCTTTTTTGGTTGTGTCTCTGCCCGGCTTTGGTATCAGAATGATGCTGGCCTCATAAAATGAGTTAGGGAGGATTCCCTCTTTTTCTATTGATTGGAATAGTTTCAGAAGGAATGGTACCAGTTCCTCCTTGTACCTCTGGTAGAATTCAGCTGTGAACCCATCTGGTCCTGGACTCTTTTTGGTTGGTAAACTATTGATTATTGCCACAATTTCAGAGCCTGTTATTGGTCTATTCAGAGATTCAACTTCTTCCTGGTTTAGTCTTGGGAGAGTGTATGTGTCGAGGAATGTATCCATTTCTTCTAGATTTTCTAGTTTATTTGCGTAGAGGTGTTTGTAGTATTCTCTGATGGTAGTTTGTATTTCTGTGGGATCAGTGGTGATATCCCCTTTATCATTTTTTATTGTGTCTATTTGATTCTTCTCTCTTTTTTTCTTTATTAGTCTTGCTAGCGGTCTATCAATTTTGTTGATCCTTTCAAAAAAACCAGCTCCTGGATTCATTGATTTTTTGAAGGGTTTTTTGTGTCTCTATTTCCTTCAGTTCTCCTCTGATTTTAGTTATTTCTTGCCTTTGCTAGCTTTTGAATATGTTTGCTCTTGCTTTTCTAGTTCTTTTAATTGTGATGTTAGGGTGTCAATTTTGGATCTTTCCTGCTTTCTCTTGTAGGCATTTAGTGCTATAAATTTCCCTCTACACACTGCTTTGAATGCGTCACAGAGATTCTGGTATGTGGTGTCTTTGTTCTCGTTGGTTTCAAAGAACATCTTTATTTCTGCCTTCATTTCGTTATGTACCCAGTAGTCATTCAGGAGCAGGTTGTTCAGTTTCCATGTAGTTGAGCGGCTTTGAGTGAGATTCTTAATCCTGAGTTCTAGTTTGATTGCACTGTGGTCTGAGAGATAGTTTGTTATAATTTGTGTTCTTTTACATTTGCTGAGGAGAGCTTTACTTCCAACTATGTGGTCAATTTTGGAATAGGTGTGGTGTGGTGCTGAAAAAAATGTATATTCTGTTGATTTGGGGTGGAGAGTTCTGTAGATGTCTATTAGGTCCGCTTGGTGCAGAGCTGAGTTCAATTCCTGGGTATCCTTGTTGACTTTCTGTCTCGTTGATCTGTCTAATGTTGACAGTGGGGTGTTAAAGTCTCCCATTATTAATGTGTGGGAGTCTAAGTCTCTTTGTAGGTCACTCAGGACTTGCTTTATGAATCTGGGTGCTCCTGTATTGGGTGCATAAATATTTAGGATAGTTAGCTCCTCTTGTTGAATTGATCCCTTTACCATTATGTAATGGCCTTCTTTGTCTCTTTTGATCTTTGTTGGTTTAAAGTCTGTTTTATCAGAGACTAGGATTGCAACCCCTGCCTTTTTTTGTTTTCCATTGGCTTGGTAGATCTTCCTCCATCCTTTTATTTTGAGCCTATGTGTGTCTCTGCACGTGAGATGGGTTTCCTGAATACAGCACACTGATGGGTCTTGACTCTTTATCCAACTTGCCAGTCTGTGTCTTTTAATTGCAGAATTTAGTCCATTTATATTTAAAGTTAATACTGTTATGTGTGAATTTGATCCTGTCATTATGATGTTAGCTGGTGATTTTGCTCGTTAGTTGATGCAGTTTCTTCCTAGTCTCGATGGTCTTTACATTTTGGCATGATTTTGCAGTGGCTGGTACCGGTTTTTCCTTTCCATGTTTAGCACTTCCTTCAGGAGCTCTTTTAGGGCAGGCCTGGTGGTGACAAAATCTCTCAGCATTTGCTTGTCTATAAAGTATTTTATTTCTCCTTCACTTATGAAGCTTAGTTTGGCTGGATATGAAATTCTGGGTTGAAAATTCTTTTCTTTAAGAATGTTGAATATTGGCCCCCACTCTCTTCTGGCTTGTAGGGTTTCTGCCGAGAGATCCGCTGTTAGTCTGATGGGCTTTCCTTTGAGGGTAACCCGACCTTTCTCTCTGGCTGCCCTTAATATTTTTTCCTTCATTTCAACTTTGGTGAATCTGACAATTATGTGTCTTGGAGTTGCTCTTCTCGAGGAGAAACTTTGTGGCGTTCTCTGTATTTCCTGAATCTGAACGTTGGCCTGCCTTGCTAGATTGGGGAAGTTCTCCTGGATAATATCCTGCAGAGTGTTTTCCAACTTGGTTCCATTCTCCACATCACTTTCAGGTACACCAATCAGATGTAGATTTGGTCTTTTCACATAGTCCCATATTTCTTGGAGGCTTTGCTCATTTCTTTTTATTCTTTTTTCTCTAAACTTCCCTTCTCGCTTCATTTCATTCATTTCATCTTCCATTGCTGATACCCTTTCTTCCAGTTGATCGCATCGGCTCCTGAGGCTTCTGCATTCTTCACGTAGTTCTCGAGCCTTGGTTTTCAGCTCCATCAGCTCCTTTAAGCACTTCTCTGTATTGGTTATTCTAGTTATACATTCTTCTAAATTTTTTTCAAAGTTTTCAACTTCTTTGCCTTTGGTTTGAATGTCCTCCCGTAGCTCAGAGTAATTTGATCGTCTGAAGCCTTCTTCTCTCAGCTCGTCAAAATCATTCTCCATCCAGCTTTGTTCCGTTGCTGGTGAGGAACTGCGTTCCTTTGGAGGAGGAGAGGTGCTCTGCGTTTTAGAGTTTCCAGTTTTTCTGTTCTGTTTTTTCCCCATCTTTGTGGTTTTATCTACTTTTGGTCTTTGATGATGGTGATGTACAGATGGGTTTTCGGTGTAGATGTCCTTTCTGGTTGTTAGTTTTCCTTCTAACAGACAGGACCCTCAGCTGCAGGTCTGTTGGAATACCCTGCCGTGTGAGGTGTCAGTGTGCCCCTGCTGGGGGGTGCCTCCCAGTTAGGCTGCTCGGGGGTCAGGGGTCAGGGACCCACTTGAGGAGGCAGTCTGCCCGTTCTCAGATCTCCAGCTGCGTGCTGGGAGAACCACTGCTCTCTTCAAAGCTGTCAGACAGGGACACTTAAGTCTGCAGAGGTTACTGCTGTCTTTTTGTTTGTCTGTGCCCTGCCCCCAGAGGTGGAGCCTACAGAGGCAGGCAGGCCTCCTTGAGCTGTGGTGGGCTCCACCCAGTTCGAGCTTCCTGGCTGCTTTGTTTACCTAAGCAAGCCTGGGCAATGGCGGGCGCCCCTCCCCCAGCCTCGTTGCCGCCTGGCAGTTTGATCTCAGACTGCTGTGCTAGCAATCAGTGAGATTCCGTGGGCGTAGGACCCTCTCAGCCAGGTGTGGGATATAGTCTCGTGGTGCGCCGTTTTTTAAGCCGGTCTGAAAAGCGCAATATTCGGGTGGGAGTGACCCGATTTTCCAGGTGCGTCCGTCACCCCTTTCTTTGACTCGGAAAGGGAACTCCCTGACCCCTTGCGCTTCCCAGGTGAGGCAATGCCTCGCCCTGCTTCGGCTCGCGCACGGTGCGCGCACACACTGGCCTGCGCCCACTGTCTGGCACTCCCTAGTGAGATGAACCCGGTACCTCAGATGGAAATGCAGAAATCACCCGTCTTCTGCGTCGCTCACGCTGGGAGCTGTAGACTGGAGCTGTTCCTATTCGGCCATCTTGGCTCCTCCCCCCGACAATACCTTTTTAAAAAATGGATTTGGCAGATGGATCTATGGGCAAGCTATAATGCTTAACATTTATTGAGTGTAAAACTTGTTTATACCATCAATTTAAGCCCCTTTTAATACCCCTTTACATGTTATTTTATTGATTCCTCACAATAGTGCTTTGAAGAGGACCCTATTGTTATCCATTTCATATTTGAACAGACTGGGGCACATAGAAGTTATGTAAATTGCCCAAAGTCACATTATTAGCAAATACAGAGCCATGATTGGAGCTGAGCAATGTAACTGCAGGATCTGTCATACAAATTACACCCTGTATGGCCTCTCTAGAGGAAAGAGAGTGCCTTCAGGGATGGTTGAAGGCTCAGCATTTTTGCATGTCTTCCTATACTACCTGACTATATGGCTCCACGATTGCAGCTATCCCAAATGACCTCAAGTTGGGTACCTAAACTGATTGTCGAGAGGGATTCTGGAAGGATAAGGGCATGAGATACTGGTAGTCCCAGAGAAGCACCGGGAGAGTAATCCCATGGTGGCAGCAGTAGAAAGGTCTTGGAGATTTGGGTGGCTAAGGAGCCTTCTGATCATGGAGAAGCTTGGAGGACCCATCTATGAAAGGGCTTTCTGGAACAGGACTGCTGGAGAGATTGTAAAAATTGATGCACCACCTATAGAATTTACCCAGGGTTTTGGGGATGCCCCTTTCCACTGGGGGTGAACCCAAGTTGCCTTCCCGGGATATTTCCCTGTTGCTTAAGCAGCAATATAGAAAAGTGGAATGATTTCAGGCTCTAGGGTCACGCAGGCTTGGGCCCTTAGCTAAGCTTGACTCTCAGCTCTTGTCCCACCTGGAAGAGTTTCCTAATGTCTTTGAGCCCCCTTTTCTCCTCTGTGAATCTGGGGCAAGTACAACCATCTACCTTAAAGGGCTGTTGTCAGAATTAAATGAAATAATGAAGGTTTGCAAGTAATAAGCCCTTAGTATATGGTAGCTGTTTAATTCCCTCTTACCCCAAGAAAGATCATGCCCATCATTTTCAGAAATATTGCTTGACCCAAACAGGTTTTTGTTCTCTTGCCAGACTCTCTTATACTTCCTTTCTCTAACCTGCATCTTCTAACAGAAAATGAGCATTGCTTCTCTCAGTTCTACATAAACTCTGCTCCTTCAAGGAACCAGGGAACCATTTCCAGCCAGCACTTAGTAAGAAAGAGAGAGAGTAAGAAAAAACTTTAATGTAGTGGTGTGCTGGAGCTATCCTGTACTATCTCATGAAAGCCAGTTGTTAATTGTTTAAGAATTTTGTGAGCTGGTTGATTTCACTTTGCTAGCTTGAAATGGATCTAGGTGGGAATATTTATACTACAGAAATTGTCGAATATTACAACTTAGAGTTTCTCTTTTCTTTCTTCTCTTCGAGAGCTTGTTTTAAAACATTGACCAGCACACCAATGAGTGTTAATAGTTAGAAAGTGATAGTAGTTAGGAAGCATACTATTTGTCAGATGTTGTCCAAAATCTTTACATATAGTAGGTTGGTACAAAAGTAATTGCAGTTTTTGACATTCCAATACCAAAATTTTTTGCTATTACCGTACCAAAAACCTCAATTACTTTTGCACCACCCTAATACTAATTAATTCTCACACCTTTTGAGGTGGTTATTATTATCCCCATTTTGTAATGAGGGAAGTGAGAAAGTGAGTTGCCAGAGGTTATGTAGCTAGTTAATGACAGAATTGATATATAAACTAAAGCAGACTGGCTCCAAGGCCTGCGTTCATAGTCAGCTATTCCGCCTCTTGAGGATTCTTGTGAGGATTTAATAACTTATGTAAAGACTTGGCCCAGTCCTTGGTGCTTAGTAATTGCTTGATAAATATTAGCTGTTATTATTTATATCAAGAGTTCTTAAGTTTTTGAGGTCACGAAAATCTGATAAAGAAAGCTTTAAATATCCTTTTTTCCAAAAAGATGTACATTTGTTTAGTGTGTACCTAAACACACACACACACACACACACACACACACACACGTGCGCGCGCGCGGTGAGATATAACCTTAGGGGATTTCTGAACTCTTGGACACCCATTGATTCTAACTCTACCTTTTGGGGGCCACGTATAAGGCAGCCAGTCTCTCCTATTTCCCCATACTGTCTTTCAGTGCTCCAAAGATAGGGATCAAATTTCCTTTGTGTTTATCTTTTTCCAGTAGAACATCCATGTTTCTTCACCTTCTCTTCAGGGGCTGTTTGTGTACCCTCCCAAGCCACTTGCCCTCCTGCAGGTGTGCCCTAATTTCCTTTGCTTCTCATGGTATGAGACCCAGAGTTGTGTAGTCTTTTAGCCTTCTTCATTTCCCCTGATCTCTGTCTACCAACTGGTATTTTTCTAGTTCCTTTTTTCCTCTGGTGTCCTAGCTCTAGAGGACTTTACAAGTTCTCTGGCATCTAGGATATAAAGTTGAGCTACAGTTTTAACACCCCTAACTTCACACACACACACACACACACACACACACACGCACGCACCAGTATACATCTTACAATCAAACCATAAAAGAATTCTGAATATGTGAACACCTATCTAGGGGCTTCTTTACTTTCTTCATCTGGGCTTCAATGAGCTGTAGACATCTACTTTGGCTTTCTTCTGTCTTTTAAACCAGTGGCCCCCAACCTTTTTGGCACCAGGAACCAGTTTTGTGTAATTTTCCCATGGATGGTGGGCATAGAGGGGCAGGGTCAGGATGGTTTGGGGATGAAACTGTTCCACCTCAGATCATCAGGCATTAGATTCTCATAAAGAGCTCACAACCTAGATCCCTTGCATGTTCAGTTCACAATAGGGTTTGCACTTCTATGAGAATCTAATGCTGCCACTAATCTGACAAGAGGTGGAGCTCAGGCGGTAATGCTCGCTCACCTGCCGCTCACCTCCTGCTGTGCAGCCCACTTCCTAACAGGTCATGGACTGGTACCAGTCCGTCCGTGGCCTGGGGTTTGGGGATCCCCGTTTTAAACTTTCCTTGTACCCTCATTTTGCTTCCTCAACCCCAACTGCCTGACAGCATGTCTGCTCTCTAGCCTTGAATTCCAGTCTTACTTTCACTCAACAAAAGAAGAATAACAACTAATAAAAATTGCTTAGACTTTCTATGTGTGTACAATTTTGTATACATTCTCATTTAAACCCATGCAACAAACCTATGATATAGGGGTTTCAAAGGAAATGGAAGCTTAGAGGGATTAAGTAACTTGCCCAAGTTTTCACAGCTAATAAGTGGCTAAGCTAGAATTCAAACCCACTTTTAGGAGCTCTATCTTTGCATGCTTTTCTTTGGTGTGCACTGACTCCTTTTCCTGTATCGCGCATCTAATCGTGGTCTGACACATGGTCCCATCCTGAATATCTGTATTTATCACCGGGCTTTAGAAGTTCATAGTGTTAATAAGACATAAAGAGATTTCAGTCACTGGGTATTGGGGGAATTCTTGCAGGTGGAGGATCTCTCAGGATTGTGCAAATACTGCCACACAAGTCCCACCAACCCCACCCCAGCCAACCAACCATGTGCCTCACTGACTAGGTCAGAGCTCGTTAAGACTCATCTTCCCTTTTCTTCAGTCCCAGAAAGAAATGGGACTAAAGCCTTTATAGAAAATAAAGCCATCCCTCCCTGCAAAAGGACCCTGAGCTGGATTTTTGAGAGTCCAGAAAGCTTTTTGTATAAGAAATGTGATTTTTAAAAACCTGACAGGTAGGCATCCTTCCAGCTTTCTGTGGCTTACCAACGGCCCCTAGTGGCCAGTGGCTCCAAGTGCCACGAGCTGTAAGTCTTGGCTTCTTTGGTGCTAGCTGCATGCCCTGCAGAGTTCTATTGCACTGCATTAATTCCTGATCAACATATTTTGCAGTATTGGGACAGAAAAAATGATGAAGTCTAAAACTCTGGGCAAAGAAAGCATTATAATGGGTGATCAAAGCTATAAAATTGGCAGGCTTTCACGAAGGCCTCTCCCTTTTTAACATTCCAGACCACACACTTATGCAGTAGCCAATATTGTTATCTCTATGAGGTTCAGAGAGGCTGCTATGTAAACTAGGCTACACACTGGTTAGCAGGAAAGAACACCCGGGTTTGTGTGCGCACCGGTCTATGTAAACACAGGCTCTAACATTTGTCAGGCATGTCTAAAGCAGCATGTAGGTTGTTTATTGGCAAAGCAGTCATCTGGTTTTGGGAAATAATGGCAGCTACGATTTAAGATTCACTCTGTGCCAGGCACATGATAAATGCTCTTATGTGAAATATCTCATTCACTCTTCATAGCCACCACTGTGCAAGATAAACACCTCCAATTTGCAAATGAGAATTCAGTCTCAGCAAGGTCAAAACTGCCCGAGGTCACATAGCTGAAGTGGAAGAGCTGGAAATTAGGGCCCAGGTTCTTTGAATCCAAAGCAATAGCTTTCATTTACCTTAATACATAGCATGTGTGTTCTCCTTCAAGCAAATCGAAGTTGTTAGTCTTTAGCACACACTCACCAGAATCATTCTCTTCCTGTCTCCTAACCCGGCTGTATGCTGGTGAGCGTTCTGGCTGATAAGAGCTCAGGGACTGTTGGCTGGGTGCGGTGGCTCACGCCTGTAATCCCAGCACTTTGGGAGGTTGAGGTGGGCAGATCATCTGGGAGGCTGAGGTGGGCAGGAGTTTGAGACCAGCCTGGCGAACATGTCGAAACCCTGTCTCTACTAAAAACACAAAAATTAGTCAGATGTGGTTGTTACATGCACCTGTAATCCCAGCTACTTGGGAGGCTGAGGTAGGAGAATTGCTTGAACCCGGGAGGTGGAGGTTGCAGTGAGCCAAGATCATGCCACTGCACTCCAGCCTGGGTGACAGAGCGAGACTCCATCTCAGAAAAAAAAAAAAAAGGAGCTCAGCAACTGTGGACGTCTGTTGGCCAGTGCCCCTCTCAACATAAGACTTTATACCTGGGAGACTATTTTGTGTGTGCCCAATGTGCTCAGAAATCCTCTCTAACTGCTGTGGGGTGTGGGTGGCTGCTTTGGAAGGGTCATTGGCAACTCACTCATTTCCTGGAGACTTGGAGGGTTTTAGTTAGGGAGGCATGTGGACACTGCTGAGTCTAGTGGTCATTAGGCAGGCTTTGGAGTCAGGAGACATTAGGAGTTACTAAACCATTCAAGACTCAGTTTCCCAATCCATAAAATGAATCTTGTGGGGTTGTGGTAAGAGTTAAATAGGACAATACATAGGATATTCTTAACATAGCACCTGTCACAGAGTGCCTTGCTAATGTGTTCATGTGTGAGGGACACACTGTGACTCGATATAGCTCCCTGGGAAGGTTTCAACAGCAGCACTAACCACTGAGAGACCTGGCCCCTTGTCAGGTGTCAGCAGATGAGATTAGGTTTTGTTTCCCTTGAAACACAAATCAGTTAACTTACGGGTTGAAGCAAAACCAACATACTGATGGAAAAAAGCCAGAAGCAAAGAAATCCCTCTCCTAGGGATAAACAGGTGGAGTGAAATAGTGACAAAGTCTTTATTGGGAGCCACATCCCCCAAATCCCTTGCCAGGAGAGTATTGACTTTTGGTAGGAACAGGGGACAGAGCCATGAAGGAATGAATTTGCCTCAAAAGGAATTGCCATGACTTAATGGCTTTATTGAATCCTTGGTTTTTAGCCCATTGATTCCCATTTACTTTAATTCAGAGCTATGTAGGAGCTGCACCATTACTTTGCTTGGTCATATTGATTAGTCAATATCCCTCCTCCTCTTGCCTAGGGTTTGTCCTTCTTCACATATCACCATGTATCTCTTGCTCCTGTTTTCTGTCGTCATTTCCCCCATTGCAGTGACTGTGTTACATGCACATGCAGGTGGTCTTGGCAAACCCTTGGAAGGCCTTGCTAACTGGAAATAATGGCACCAGGCAGCTGAGTGGTGCCACCTCACCATTAGGCTCTTTGTGCTAGTTATAACCATGCTTTTGCTTTAGGACTTGTCTTCAAGCTTTGAAAAAAAAAAGCTTTTAATTTTTGCATTCCTTTGGATGACAATTTCTATGTAGCTGTACTGGGAGGTTTTATTTAAGGCATGTTTTTCAAATTTTAGTGTGTACCAGATCACCTGGGAGCTTGTACAAAAGGACATTCCTGGGCCTAACTACTTTGACTCAGTAGATTCTTGCCTCCTCCCCTTTTAAAAATTGAGATAAACATGACATAAAATTAAAATGAACTATCTTAAAATAAACAATTCAGTGACATTTAGTACATTCACAGTCACGTGCAGCCATCACCGCTGTCTGTTTCCCAAAACAGTTTTATTACCCCCAAGTGAGACCCTATATCAATTAAGCAATCACTCCTATTCCTCTCTCCTCCTTGCCTTTGGCAATCACTTATCTGCTTTCTGTCTTTGTGAATCTACCTATTCCAGATATTTCATCTAAGTGGAATCATACAATATTTGTCCAGTTCCTCTGGCTTATTTCTCTTAGCATATTTTGAGGTTTGCCTATATCTCAGTACCCCATTTCTTTTTATCGCTGAATAGTATTTCATTTTATACACACATTTTGTCATTTAAGGAAGGACCTCACTTGGTTCTGCAGCTGGTGGTCTTTGGTTCAGCTTTGGGAATCATTGCAGTGGAGCTGGGTGTGCCCCCAGGCAACCTGATACCTTGTCAGAGCAGATTCTGGAGAGTGCCAGGCCCCAGCTGTCCCTTGGGTGTGACAGACCTTCAGAGATGGGCCTAACAGTGGATGACCAGGGTGTGTTCAGCCTAGCAGGACAAGTATCAGGACAGAGATAGAGACCCAGGTAAACCCAGTGAAGTGAGGGTATAACAACAGTATTGCTCTCATAACATTGTTGTTTAAATTAAATAAAGTAATTTATAGTAAGTGGTTGGTATAGATCCTGGCACAGAGAGAGTAGAGTGAAGCCAAAAGTGGCCATGATTTTCATTGCTTTTCCAAAAAAGGGGTAGTGTGCAGCTGGAGTCTGGCACGACTGGTGGGTAACTCGTGTAGACAAAGGGAAATGCTCTCAGCAGGGCCAGCCACTGTTCCAGGATTCTATAGTATTTCCAAGAGAATTTATGAGAATAAGACATGGCCCCTGGTGAGGGAGAAACAGGGTACCCAGTTTCCAACATAAGACGCTTAGTCCCAGCAATAAGGCAGGAGTCTTGTCTTAAAATGGAACATATTGTCAGAATAAAAGCAGTCACAAGGCTAAACTAATCAGTATCCAAATTGCTTGTCTGATTTCCCTACTAGGTTGTGAGTACAGGGAGGGTAGGGTTTATATCTGTCTATTTCCCTGCTGTGTTCCTAGCACATAATATAGAGTATGAACTCAATAAATATCTTTTCATGGATGGAAGGATGGACGCTGTGTTACCTGTCTAATGCCTCAGGACTGATTCATATTTTCTGAATCAGTTCCTCACACTGTTGGAGGAATATACTCTGCTCTTAGAATATTTGTAAATCTGATAAAAAATTCTCTAAAGTGTGCACATTTTTGATCCAGCAGTTCTAAGTATTTAACCTAAGGAAATCCCTAGAGGATCATAAAGATTATGACTCAATAACATTAATTGTGACATTATTTAGAATAGTGAAAACAGTGGAAATAATCCCCTGTCCAACAAAAAGGGATTAGTTAGCTATATTATAATACTTATATTCAATAGTGTTTCAAAGCCATAAAAATAATGAAGATTGTTTAATAACATGAAAAAATGATCAAATTATGCAGTTAGTGAAAAAAAATGCAAGTTACACAACATTTTTACATAATGCTACTCTGTGTGTGTGTGCTTGTGAGTATAATACTGGAAAGATTTATCTTTGCTGCTGCTCTGATTACAGGTTATTTTCTTTTCAAGCTTTTTTGAGTTATTTCTGAAATTTCCAGTGTCTTTATTTTGAACCTGTGGTAATAACTTAGGTCTTTGACTTCTAGAGTGTGTCTGAACCTGCATGGGGTACTGAGTGGCTATAGCTGTGGGGATTAGAAAGCTTCAGGGAAGGGCTAGAAACACCATTAGGCAGGGCCTCTGCAACATTCCAAGGATGGGATGTGCTGTTCTTGCAGGAGAGAGAACGTTGTCCACCATCTTTCGTGTCGTGTCCTCTTTCCTCTCAGATCAAGTGTTAGCATTAAATACTTTTCAGCCTGTAGTAGCTTTGATCTACATGGAGACTGGATCCATGTTCTGGCCTCCTAACTCCTGAGATAATCAGTGGCAGATTGGTTTCAAAAAGATAAATTTAAACCTTGTATAGGATGAATTGACCATGCAAATTAATTCTGTCCTGTGTTCTGGAAGATTAAAAGAAGAAAGTCTGGGCTGAGAAAGTGCAAACGGAATTAAGTACTTCTATTTAATGGGAAACAAGATGATATCTCTTTAGGACTGGCTTTTTATATTTTCAGTCAACCGATTATAAGTAACCTCTTGTCCAGGACTGAGGCTTTGTTCCTGGGCCAAGTGTGTCTGTCTGGTGAGGTTAGGTTCTCCCCAGAGGCTCTTGGGATTTTTATACCAGTACATGACTCCTGCAGTTCCTCCAGAATTCCTCAGTTTGATAGCATCCTAGAGGGGAACATGATTTACATTTATTTTGGGACCTCCATAGAACTTACAAACCGACAGTGGTGATGTGTTGTGTGTGCTTTAAAGGGGAAGGATAGGTGCTAAAGGGAATAAGCTCCACGAGTTCTCTGAAAGTAAATGTTTCATTTGAGTCATTTTGGTGGTTGCTTCCACCAATGACCAAGGCAGTCCCTTGATTATAAAAATGGCTAAACTTTCACTGAGTGATTGTTATGGGTCTAGCATTGTGCTAAATGTTTTACATGACATATTAGAGTTCTCCAGGGAAACAGAACCGATAGAGAGAGAGAGAGTGAGTGAGTGTGTGTGTGTGTGTGTGTGTGTGTGTGTGAATAGGTGGAGAGACAGAGAAATAGAGATTTACTATAAGGATTGGCTTAAATGATTATGGAGGCTAAGAAATCCCAAGGACGGCAATTGGCAAGTTGGAGACCCAGGAGAGTCAATGTGTAGTTCCAGCCTGAGTCTGAAGGTCTGGGAACTAGGAGAGCCAGTTGTGTAAGTTCTAATAAAAAAGCTGGCAGGCCTGAGACCCAAGAGGAGCCAAAGTTTCAGTGCTATGGACTGAAGATTGGAAAAGACTAATGTTCTAGCTCCTGCAGTCAAACAGGAGAAGTGTCCTCTTACACAAAGGAAAGTCAGCCATTTTGTTCTGTTCAGGCCTTCAACTGATTGAATGAGGTCCACTCACATTAGGGAGAGCAATCTGCTTTACTGGATCTCCTGATTCAAATGTTAATCTCATCCAAAAACATCCTCACAGATACACTCAGAATAATGTTTGAGCAAATGTTTGGGTACTTTGTGGCCTTGTCAACTTGACAAAATAAACCATTGCACATGGATTATATAATTTAACTTACACAATCATCTTGCAAGGTTATCCTTGTTTTCATTCCTGTTTTACAGACGATGAAACTAAACCTTAGAAGGTTTATAGTTAGGATTCAAACCTAAGATACTGATTCTGGGGGCCACATCCTTAACCATTATGCTATAATAAATGCTTTAAAATTGATTACTTACCAACTTCTCAGATATAAATTTAAGAAAAATATAATCACTAACGATAGATTATATAAGACATTCATTAATACCTATATAATGAGTAGATAAATATACTGTTAACACCTTACATCTTCCCTCCAATAAATTCATGCTTTGCACATTTCTCTTTACTCTGGAAGAGTGTTACTGAGCAAAATTTGGTGAGTCTGTTGAGAACCCAGTTTCCCTTTCTTAATGAGTGTCCTAGGTCATACCGGTTGCATTTTAGGAATAAATAAATTGGTACATTAAGGTGTGGAGGCAGTAAAGACTCTCAGCATTGAGATATTTGTGTTGTGAAGAGATTGTGTAAACAGTTCATAGAAATTTGATTATTGGAAATAAGTGAAATCATTTCCTAGGGATTGTCTTGAGTGGATTTGGATGAGGTTAGAGTCAGCTAAGCTCATTCCAGAATCTCAAGAGTAATGGCTCTCTGGGTTGATCATTAGTAGTAAGTGATATGTCTTGGAAATATGCTATGCAAATCAAATCCTGTTTTCCTATTAATTTTTATGCTTCTCTAAGATATCCTTCAGTGGACATTACTGTATTCTCTCCCATCTCCACTCAGTTTTTATCTTTGAAATAAATGCCTACAGGTAGGCATAGAGTGCTCTGAATTTGAAGAGCTGCTTTGGAAAAGCAAATTTACCCTCACAGTTTATTATAAGTTGAGTTTTTAAAAATTATAAATTTCCTTAAATCAGGGCACATCTGGATTTCTAAGAAAGCATGGGAGGGAATTCTCTATTAAGGTGATGTGATATATTTTAATATGCTATCTATCCAACTAGTTAATACTTAGTCGACTAGGTTTGGTTGATTGTTTCAATACTTTGAAAAGTACCAAGAGAACAATAAAGCTATTTCAATTTGGAAGTAGGGGAAAGTAAAAATAAGCAATCTTGTTGAAATATTAACTTAATTAGGATTGACTCAGCTGAGAGGAATTTGGGGCTTTAGTGGCCCAGGCTGGAGGGAAAGGCTGGCCTGATCCTGGGTAAAAGTTCAATTTGTCCAAGTGGTAACTCCAGGCTAGAATAAGACCCATGTTCATCATTTGAGGGAATTCAACGCAGGCAAATTTTTTATTTGTGAGAAACCAACCCCATTCATGCTAGTTCAAGGAAAGGAGCGTTTTGAAAGTTTACAGGGGCACTTCACAAAAATGAAACAGTATACACCCTGCGTCAAAAATTGTATATTTTGCTTAAAATGTTCTAAGGATAGAATTTCCTCTTCTGTCTGTTTTTGTCTCTCTCTCTGGCTGTATTAAAAAATGTTAATAGGCTTTCTCTGGCATTTAACTTTCTGAGATAACTTCTCAGTAAGAACATGGCTGAGAATGACTGTTTTATCCCCGATTCCATGTAACTTTCAGTATAAATATTCGCTAGTCTCTGATCAGGGATTTTTCTTTTCTTTGTTCAAACTTTCAAGGTAGAACATTAGCTTGTTAGGCAGTTAGTAGGTTGGCTTTCCTTGTATTGGATTTTTTGTGTGTGTTAAGTGGGCTATAACTTCCAGTGGATCCCATGCTATAATAAAACACACCTACCTTGACTCACCCCTTCAACAGGGGCTGGTGAGTGGAGGCTTCTTCTCTGAGAAGAGATTGCAGGGTTACCTGTATCGCAAAATTATGTACCACAATGAGTTCCAGCAGGGCCTCCTCAAAGAGTGGTATTCCTCTGAATCACAAGGTGTCACGTGTCTGAGAGCTCAGGAGACAGGATTCATTTCTCAGAACAAAGGGATTGATGTATGTATGGTCAAAGCTCCAGCCCAGTAAGCTCGGGTTCAGTACAGAATCCCAATATCAGAAAGGGAATAGGGGTGCAAATCAGGAACCAAGGTGGAGATTCTGTCACATGGAGGACCAACATGATATGGGTTCTGAGAAGGCTTATAACTTAGAACCATGACTCCAAAATCCACGGGATGCATAAAAATCACCCTGAGGTACTTAATTTCAGGGCACCCGCTGAGATCTAGTAATCTGCTGAGGGAATTCTTTTAACAAGATCACGTAGTGAATATGACACAGGGTCAGGTTTGGAAACTTGTGACTTATTCGGCCATCTGCCATCTGCACACACCAGATTCTGAGCCAACCTACAGAAACAAGGGCCTTCACCTTCTCTCTTCCAGTCTGAGGCTCTTTATATCCTGCCATTGCCATTATAGTTAAGGTCACCGCAGAACTCTCTTATGTCAGAGAAGTAAGGTTTTCTTGGTGTGACTATTGGCATTTATGGCAGATGGTCTGGATAGGCTGGACTGTGGTGGAAATCTTGAGAGATTGAATTTTGAATCTGTGTGTCCATAACAGCTGAGACAGAAAAGGTTAGGCTTAATTTTTTTTTTAAAATGCTGTAAAGCAACTTTGAAGCTTTGTTGATTGTAGGGAGACCCCCTGAAACTATTGCTACGGAATAAAAGATGAAATGCTCCTGATTATTTTAAATACAAAATTGCATGCAGGATTGTGTAAAGACAATGCCAGGTTGGACCGCCAGAATGAGCCAACAGCGCATGATGTGCTTCCTCCTGCAGAGAGCCTATGAATGGACGTGCAGTCAGGGAAGTTTCACATCACCAAGATTCCTATCCCAGAAAAGCAGATGTTCATAGCTCTGGGAATGGAATGCGACGCTTGTGGAAAGCCTATAAATGGACGCATGGGGGGCGCCTGTCCATATGGATAAGATAGGGCTATAAATGCCCTCATCTTGCCATGGCTCTTCTGGGCCTCTTTAGGGTTAAGGCATACTCCCTTCTGAGAATTTCTGGTCTAACCAGTTGTCTAGCTTCACGTCCTGTTTCTATGGATTGTTTGTAACCAGCTTTTGCTGCAACTGTTACTGCTGATAAATACCTTGCTAATCATAGGTTATGGAAAGACTGTGTTTCTGTTTTAAGGCTCTGTTAGAAATTACTGATGCACACACAATATTGTAAATTCTTATCCCTGTATACTGTACTTCTGCATACAGATGTTATGTTAAAAAATTACTTCATCCCCATGTGACCATCTCACCTCATAATCAAATGACCCTAAATCCCTCACTAACCTACTCCTGCCCTCACTAAACTTAATAATAAATGCTGGTATATACAGTGCATTGTTGGCACCGCAGGACCAGAAGGCAGTGACCCCCCTGGACCCAGCTTTCACTATCTTGTTTGTGTCTATTATTTCTCGACCTGCCGATCTGCCTGGAAACAAAGAGAGAGCCCCACTGCATTGCGGGCTGCTGGCCAAATCCTGCAGTAGTTGATGATATATGTCCATGCTGGGTCTTCTGGGAACCTTACTATGCATTTCCCTAACTCCGGGACCCAGGCTAGTTGCTGAGGCAGAGGGAAAGGAGAACATGGCAAAAAAAATGCCGTGGGTAAAGTTAGTACCTCACAGTGACACACATCAGTACCGTCTATATTTTGTTGGCCAAATGAAGCCCTGATATCACCTTGGCAGGGACATAAAATCCTAAGATGGGCCTGGAAGAAGAAACCCATTCCTAAGGCCTAGCACAAAGGCCTTTGACTTGTTTTCTGCAGCGTCTCCAGTGTCTAGAATGTTGTCTGGCACATGGTAGGTATTTAAAATATGTATTGAATAAACAACAAATATACAAGAGAAAAATGATAGTTTATATTCCACTCAGGGTTCGCTTTGGTTCCTGGACACAGTTCATTTCCTAGAACATTTTAGGAAATAACCCCAGAAAGGACCATGTTTGTGAAAATTGCCTTTAATACAGATTATGAATGAGTGGAAAGCCCTTGGCTTGAGGAGACACATTAGATAGGGGCTGCATGAGTTCCAAGTTGTGTTTTATATTGGTGTAGGGGGCATTTTTTCATGTTTCTACAGAGAGTGTTTAAAGGTCAGTTTGAAAAATTGTCTGACTCTTAGAATATTAAAGGGTGAGGTGCAGGACTCATTAGTGGATTTCACAACAGATCTGAGAGTAAAACTACCAAATTAACGATTAACTTTGCAGACAGATGTTAAGGGGATCCTGTTTTAACTAAAATTATGGCTCTTCTTGGGGTTACCATTGGTTCTTCCATGAAATGGCCAAAAGACACTTAAATGGCTATCCTGGGAGACTTGGCTTCCAAATCTGTAGACACATTGAGATTAATGGCCAATTCCGTCTCCTGCTTTGTCCTCAATAAGCATGGGTCCTCAGACCCACTTCCTGCCAAGAGAACAAATGTTTACAAGTGCCCTTTCCATTTCTGGGAAATCTAAAATCTGCCCATAATTTGGCTAATTTGTAGTTGATCGTGGGGAAGATAATGAGTAGGGAAAATTGAGGGAGCAGGGGACAAGGTTGCTAGGAAACAGATTCACTTCTCACATCCAAACAAATAAACTAAAGAAATGGTGTTAATGAGCCCAGTTACAGATAGTCTCAGTTCTGAGGAAGCTGAGATACAGAAGTAGCGTTACCATGAAAAAGCATTGGACAGAGGCAAAGGCTCTGGGGAAGGGAGTGGGGCATGGTGTTTCAGCACATGGATTTTGTAAAGAGACAGACTATAAAATGAGGCAAATACTAGGCTAATTTGTTAGAACAGATTTGCTGATTAAATGAAGTAGGGAAGTTTATGGAAAGGGCTTAGCACGATATCTACATAGAGTAGGTGGTTAGTAAATACCATAATTTTCTTGAGTTCCTGTTCTAGCTCTTCTACTGACTGCAGCATTTTCCTTTCCTAGTTCAGATAATTTTTTAATCTTCATTGTGAATGAAGATGATGAATGATGCAAATTCTTATTCCACATCCTCTACAGAGATTGTTATGAGGGGAGATGTATGTAAACACTTTTTAAACTTAAAGGAATTTTATTCTATGAAGGACTTTCCTCATCATGATGCTGAATAGCCACTCCAAGGACCCAAGGAGTAATTTTACACAGCTGGTTAGGACTCTTTCTCTGCTGCTTCCTCCTTTCTCTGCACCTGAAATTTCAATCATCTTAGCAGCTGTGAACTCTGATCTCCATTTCCTCAATCCAGTAAAACTGCTGTTGTCTGCTTGACTCTATTTCTCTGCATCGGAATTTAGAAAATGCCCTCAAGAAGAAAGAATTTCGTGTGTCAAATTGGCTGTGCTTAGGGATACCCATAGGATACTATTTCTGGATATGTCTGTGAGGGTATTTCTGGAGGAGATTAGCATTTAAATCAGCGGACTGAGTAAGGAAGATTGCCCTCACTATTGTGGACAGGCATAATCCAGTTATTAAATGACCAAATAGAACAAAAAGATGGGAAAAGGTCAAATTCACTCTGTTTGAGCTGGGACATCCATCAGACATTGGTGTTCTTGGTTCTTGGGCCTTGAGACCAGTATTCACATCATTGGCTCCCTTGTTTCTCAGGCCTTTGAACTCAGAGTGAATTACAGCACCAGATTTCCTTGTTTTCCAGCTTGCAGATGGCAGATCATTGGACTTCTTGGCCTCCATAACCATATAAGCCAATTCCCATAATAAGCATCATCTCTCTATCTGCCTATTTATCCATCCATCCATCCATCCATCCATCCACCTACCTACTCATCCATCCATCCATCCATCCGTCCACCTACCTACTCATCCATCCATCCATCCATCCATCCATCCATCCATCCATCCATCAAGTTGATTCTGTTTCTCTTAAGAACTCTAACACAGAGGGTTTTACCTCATGTGCTTCCCTTCTGTCAAAGATCATAGCCTGACATTAATCCAGTGCCTGAGAACATTATTTTATATATATTTTTTCCATTTACAGCAGAGGTTAAGTCTGATACTTCCTATTTCATCATAACTGGAACTAGAAATTATCCTAGCTTTCTCAAAGTTTATTCTGCTTGGTGTGACAACAAGTAAAATATCCTTCAAGTAAACGGACAAATCAATAAGATAATTATAAATTGGGCTATGTCCTATGAAAAAAACAACAAACAAAAAATGGCACTGAAATAGAGATTGAAGGATGGGGAGGGAGGGCAGGGTTTGGGATATGATAATGCTTTGAAGAGGTTTAACTTGAAATCTAAATAATGAGTTGGGTCTTCCTTATATGAAGCAGAGATAGGAGTGGAGAACAAAGGAACATTCTGTAGAAATGCAGATTCTGAAGAAATATCACTTGCCAAAATTCATGCCACACAAACAAGAATGAGAATATTGTATTTACTCTGAATGCTGTGATTTTTTTTTTTTTTTTAAGAGATGGGGTCTTTCTCTGTCACCCAGGCTAGAAGGCAATAGCATGATCATAACTCACTGCAACTTTGAACTTCTGGGCTCAAGCAATGAGTGCTGTGATTTTAAATAGATAACACATTGTAAGTGCTATTCAATAGGAGACCTTGAAAGGGGATAGAAATAAAGAGACCAAGACCATGCCTAGGGGCTGTATGTGGGACAAAGTTTGGAGGTATGCTATCATGTGTGCTAACTTCAAATACCTGAAGGGTTGTTATGGAGAGGGCAGGCAATTCTAGAGCATGGGTTGGCAAACTACAGCCCGGAAACCAAATCCAGCTACATAGTCTTCAAACTAATGGAGAGCTACCACAGAGATTTTTTATGTTTTAAAATAACTACATTTTAAATGGTTATATTACTAAGTACATAATAGCCTAAATTTTGTCTCCTGGCCCACAAAGCTGAAACTATTTATTATCTAGCCATTTAAGAAAAAAAGTTTGCTGACCCCTACTCTAGGTCTGTTACAATAATTTAATTTGCTGTAGCAAAAGAAATGACAAGCCAATCTGGAATCAAAATTCCCTAAGGCAAAAGTGATTTCCTGAATCGGGAACTGGAGGGACCTTCCTCATAGGTCTCTCCACCCCTGCTCTGTCACTAGACAGTTTTCTCCAGCTCAACCATGCACAGAAGACTGACATTTAGTTTCTTGAGAAAAACACAGAGGCACTGGGCCAGCTGTCTAAGTATTTGACTTCGTGGAATTGGATGGTTTTCTATTTGGTTGAGACAATCGTGTGATTTAAAAACACACAATTAGTGACTACATCCAAATTGATACATTGTTTTACTGAGCTTAATTATCCCCCCAGCCTCTCCTCAATTGGATTTAAGCATAGACAAAGTCCTTGAATAACAGATTAGTGACCCAAATTAATCTGTGATAGGTCACCAACTAGCAGGGAAGTCTAGATTATAAAGTAGACCAGTTCCTCAGGAACTAGGCTATAGGATGAGGTAGTTCAGAAGGAAAACACTTGTTTTAGAGTAGTCTTCCCCAGCAAAAACCAAACAAGTGATGGAATGTCCTGGAGTATGGTACATACTTCATTCATTTGTGTATTTATCAAACAAGGAGCTCACAGTCCAAAGAAGATACAGATATAAATAATAGTGAGTGTGTGGAATATATATTTAGTTTTTATAGGTTTGCAGGTATCTCCAGAGTGCTATAAAACTTACAGGACAAGCATGTAGCTTGGCTTTGAGGGAGGCCAAAATAGTTTTCTGGAGGGGATGGCACCTGGGAATCTTACAGAATGGTTAGAGGTTATTCAGATGAAAGGGCGTGGGGAAGATACATGAGTAGAATGACTTAGGAAAAGCCATGAAGAAACTTAGTGTTCTGAGTAGATCAGAGTGCTGAGAAATGATGCTGGAGAGTCAAAAATGGCAGGGCCATGCTATGCTAAGGAATTTGAATATTATCCTGAGGACAATTGGAAGCTAACAAGAGATATTAACAGTGACATGATTATATTTGAATTTTTAGAAAGATTGTTCTGATAGTACAACAAGGAGTCAGGTGGAATGACTTACTCAGACTGGGCTTGGGGGTTCTGTTAAGATTGTTGTTGCAGTTATCTAAGTGATAGATGACAATGTTGTAGGCAGTAGTAAGGGTGATGGGGAGAGGACTATGAAGTACCAAGGAGGTTAAATGAACAAGATTAACTGTTGCTGGGATATTTGCAGCAAATGAGGAAAGAGAAGTCAACAGTTCATGTTGACCTCCTTGGTACTTCATCATCCTTTCCCCATCACCCTTACTACTGCCTACATCACTGGCATCCATAAAATAGACTGAATAAAGAAAATATGGTATATACACCATGGAATACTATGCAGCCATAAAAAGGAATGAGATCAGCCAGGCAGGTGGCTCACTTCTGTAATCCCAGCACTTTGGTAGACTGAGGCAGGTGGATCACTTGAGGTCAGGAGTTCAAGACCAGCCTGGCCAACATGGTGAACCCCTGTCTCTACTAAAAATACAAAAAATTAGCCGGTTCTGGTGGCGTATGCCTGTAATCCCAGCTACTTGGGAGGCTGAGGCAGGAGAATCACTTGAACCCAGGAGGTGGAGGTTGCAGTGAGCCAAGATCGCACCATTGCACTCCAGCCTGGCCAACGAGAGCAAAACTCCATCTCGAAAGGAACAAGATCGTGTCCTTTACGGGGACATGGATGGAGCTGGCAGCCATTATCTTCAGCAAACTAATGCAGGGACAGAAAATCAAATACTGCATGTTATCACTTATAAGTGGGAGCTGAATGATGAGAACACATGAACCCAGGGAGGGGAACAACACACACTGGGACCTGTCAGAGGGTAGGGGTTGGGAGGAGGGAGAGTATCAGGAAGAATAGCTAATGGATGCTGGGCTTAACACTTTGGTGATGGGTTAATCTGTGTAGCTAATCACCATGGCACATGTTTAGCTATGTAACAAATCTGTACATTCTGTACATGTACCCCTGAACTTAAAAGTTAGAAATAATAAAAAATACCATTCAGATCTATATTAAATGAGACAAGCATAGCAGGAGAGATATGAAAAAATTAAAAGCAAGGGAAGGGATAATTTGCAATATAAAATAGTACTGAGCACTATGGGGGGTTTGACATGGGAATCAGGGAAGGGTCACTGGAATAAGTGGTATTTGAAATAAGGATGAGTTTTCATAAAGGAGATTTGGCTGTGTCTCTTATGAGGAGGTTGAAAGTGTTAGCAAATACTTGAAAGACAGCAGTGTGTGTAGGGGAATCATCCTTTCAAAGGTAGGTAAGTGCTTGCAGTTCACAGTAATTATTGCCATCTTTCCTCTCATTTGACTGTGGCAATATTCTCATGAAAAGGTCTTGGGTAAGTAGCATGATTTCCTTTTCAGAGGCTCTTGGGTAAAATGATGCTTCCAAACTCTCTACTTTGTAAGGGAAGCCATGGCTTGAACCCACATGATACTTGAGTATAATAAAGCAACATGAAGCTAGATCCAAATGGAAAGGTCAGGCATGTGCTGCTTGGGTACACACCTGGACAAAAATAGCTCTCTCAAACAAGAGACCTGCTAACAACAGAAGATATACAGTGCTTGCACTGTATATCCTAGAAGATTGGGAGCTGAAATTTGGATAGCAGACTGAGCATTTTAGGGAAAACTTCAAGGACACTGAACCAGAATCAACCAACACCAATGAGGTGGGTGGGGGTGACCTTTATTCTCTTACTCCTGGGAAGTAGTAACTTGCATGTAGCCATTTGGAAACGATGTACCATACATCCAGGTATTTTTTAGTCCAAGCTTCTGAGACAAAGATTTAAAGTTGGAAGAACTCTTAGCAGCCATCTTACTCGACGTTTTCCAAAGAGTTGTCTACAAAATGAGAATTCTACTGGGTGTTAGTAGGTAATATACAGAATTAAAAAAAAGGAGGATTTTTGGTCAAATAGCTTTGAAAAACTCTGGATAAACAGATATAAATATGTTTTTAAAGAAACACTTTATTTTAGAATAGTTTTACATTTACAGAAACATTGGAGAAATAGTACAGAGTTTCCATGCATAACAACCAGTTTTCTCTGTTATTAACATCTGACATTAGTGTGGTACATTTTTAACAATTAATGAACTGATATTGATACATCATTATTCATTACAGTTTATACTTTATGCATATTTTCTTAGGTTTTTTTTTTTGCGGGGGCTCTGATATCTTTTTTTTGTTCCAGGACCCCATTCACTATAGCACATTACGTTAAGATGGCGTGTTTCTTGAGGCTCTTCTTGGCTACTGTAGTTTATCAGGCTTTCCTTGTTTCAGGTAATCTTGAAAGTTTTTAACAGTACTGGTCATGTATTTTGTAGAATGACTCTCTAGTGAAATTTGTCTAATATTTTTCTCACAATTAGACTGGGATTATGACTTTTTTGGGAGTAAGACTGTGTAGATAAAGTGCTATTCTCATTACATCATATTAAGGCTATATACTATCAGGATGACTTAACCATTGTTGGTGTTAATCTTGGTTAACTGGCTTTGGTAGTGTTTGTTAATTTTCCCCACTTTAGAGTTACTCTTGTTTTTTTTGCAGTACTGTAATTTTTGGAAGAAAGTCACTATGTGCAGTTGATATATAATGTGTAGAAAGTTATTCTCTATCTCCTTGGGGCAGAGTATCTACATAAAGCATTTGGAATTTTTCAGCATGAGAGATTTGCCTATTCTCTTCCATTTATTAATTTCATCATTTATTTATATCAATATAGACTCATAGATATTTACTTTATATATTGGGTTATAATTCAATATAATTTTATTTTGTTGTTCAAATTATTCCATTTTTGGCTACTAGGAGCTTAAATTTCTTCCTATGTTCTTTTGACATACTTTCATCATTGTGGTTTTTTCTTTGTTTTGTTTTTGTTTTTGTTTTGTTCTTGTTTTTGTTTTGTTCATTTTAGCATGTGCTTACTTTATGACATAAGATGTTTCAGGCTAATTTTGTGTATTTTCTGCTCTAGTACTAAAATCAGATATTTTCCAAGGAGTCTGTTTTTTAATATATGAATAGTATTAGAAACCGAGACCTGGGGGCTATATATGCTTTTTGAAACTTGTGTGCCACTGCCTCTAGGAACTCTCAGCTGACAGATTTAAAAAAAAGTATATGTTTATATTAATTGATGTATGTATACCTATCTATAAATATTTCTGTATGTAACATCTGTATTTATATTAAGCAAAACATAATTTCACATTGATGTCTCCAACTCTAATCCTTCATTTACAACATTCTAGCCTTCCCCTTGCTTTTCTGCAGTTTCCAGCTTCAGCAATGAAAACCTGGTTTCCATCATCTGTCATCCAATTAGTTAATTGTTGAATTCCAGTATATATGCTTAGAGGTTTCAGACTTGACTTCTACTCCCTGGGAAAAAAACTTTATCAACCAGAGTATACTGTTTATGTATAGTTTCTTTTGTCTTTGATCTTATAGATTCCACTAATTTCTAACGTTAGTTTTATCCTACCCCTTTGAATAAGGTTGCTTTATGCATTTGTACTAAAGTCTTTTGCCATATTCTGCATTCCATCCTGGGATTCCCCTATTTCCTAATTTTTTAAAAAATTTGCATGCCTAATGTATACCCCAATTCCAGACATCTAGAAGGGAAGCAGGTGTTCAACATACACCATATTGTTTGCATGAGTAGTTAAGGCAAAGTGAGCCACTCTTATCAGTCCTTGGAATGGTGGAAACTCTTCTTACATCCAGGTTCCCAGATGCTAGCAGAAGAGCAACCTTGCAAGCAGGTTTTCCTATGGTTAATAGTCTCAGGCCTACTATGTTAACTCTTATGCACATTATATAAATGAAATCATACAGCAAACGGTCTTTTTCAGACTGGTAGCTTTCATTTAGCAATATGCATTTAAGACTCATCTATATCTTTAAGTGGTTTGATAGTTTATTCATTTTTATCATTGAATAGTATTCCATTGTTTGGGTATACCAGTTGGTTTATCAATGCAGCTAATAAATGTCTTGATTGCTTCCAGTTTTTGAAGCTTATTAATAAAGCTGCTCTAAACATTTGTGTGCAGGCTTTTGTGTGGAAATAAACTGTCAAATCAGTTGGATATCTAGAAGTGTGATTGCTTGACACTGTGGTACGACTATATTTAGCCTCGTGAGAAACTGCCAAACTGTCTTCCAAAGTGCATTCCCACCAGCAATAAATGAGAGTATCTGTTGCATGTCATCCTTGCTAGCAATTTATTATCAAGATTTTTTATTTTTTCCTTTTCAAAAGATTTCAGCTATTCTAATAGGTATGTGGTAGTATCTCATTGTTTTAATTTTTTTCCTTAACGACATATAATGTTAACATATCATTTGGTGAAGTATCTATTCACATCATTTGTGCATTTTTAAATTAGTTTCTTTTTCTTATTCGTGAGTTTTAAAAGTTCTTTGTATGTTTTAGATACAAGTATCTTATCAGATATACTTTTGCAAATATATTCTCCTAGTCTATTCCTTGTCTTTTTGCTCTTAACAGTGATTTCATGGAGCAGAAGTTTTTAGTTTAAGTAAAGACCAACTTGCCAATGTTTATCTTTCATGGATTGTGCTTTTTGTGTTGTATTTAAAAACTCATTACCAAATTCAAATTTTCATATATTTTCTCCTATTATTTATTCTGGAAGTTTTATAGTTTTGCTTTTACATTTATATGATACATTTTGAGTTAATTCTTGTGTAAGATATGAGATCTGTGGATAGGTTATTTTTTTGCATATGGATGTCCAATTGTTCTAGCACCATTTATTGAAAATACTATCATTTCTCCATTGAATTAACTTTGTGCCTTTGTCAAAAATTAGTTCACAAGGGCCGGATGTGGTGGCTCATGCCTGTAATCCCAGCACTTTGGGAGGCCGAGGCAGGCAGATAATTTGAGGTCAGGAGTTTGAGATCAGCCTGGTCAACATGGTGCAACCCCGTCTCTACTACAAATACAAAAATTAGCTGGGTGTGGTGGTGCACGCCTGTAATCCAGCTATTTGGGAGGCTGATGCAGGAGAATTGCTGGAACCCAGAAGGCAGAGGTTGCAGTGAACCAAGATCGTGCCACTGCACTCCAGTCTGAGTGACAGAGTGAGACTCTATTTAAAAAAAAAAAAAATTAGTTCACAATATTTGTGTGGGTCTATTTCTGGGATCTTCATTTTGTTGTATTGATTTATGTTTCTTTTCTTTCACCAATACCACACTATCTTGATTACTAAAGCTTTATAGTAAGTCTTAAAATTGGGTAATGGAAGTCTTCAAACTTTGTTCTTCCATTTTATTTCAGTTATTTAAGGTCGGTTAGCTTTTCATGTAAACTTTAGAGTTTACTGATATCTGCAAAATGGCTTACATAAATATGCTTTTATTTCAGGGCTTCTCAGAACCATTAGTGTTCAAATGTGAATTATGAATATCTAAGAAAGATAAATAGTTTGTAGCACTTTCCAAACTTATATGAATTTGAAATTCTATTTTTTTCTGGGCATATATTGCATGACTCCAGAGATGATGCCCTTAATTTGACAAAATGAAACAATGAAGCTCACTGAGAAAATGGTATCTTGCTAGGTTAATAATTTGATGAGGATCAAGGACTGAACTAAACACTTATTACTTTATTTTGTGGCTATGAATATATTTCAGTCACATCTGTCTTTGGCACATATCTTCACATATATCTCAGATAATCTTATAGTTAGTTACAAGCTCAGAGAAGCATAATGTAGATATTATCTGGCTTGAAAGATTCCAGTGATTCATGGTAGATGAATAGCTTTTCATCTAACTTAGGCTTTGAAAAATAGTGATTAAAAGTGATTATATATTAAATATAATTTTCTTCATATTTTGATGATGCAGCATTATACAATTTAATATTAAGGATAATAGTAACATAATTCTTATTATCCCTTACCTCCAGTGTCCATTGGCACTCATCCAATAAACATAATGGAGTTGGGGGACACTCATTGAAAACTATAAAGTAGTGAAGTGAACAAATTGAAGTAGTTGTGAAGCCCATCAATCTCACTGAGCTTTCATTGCCTTTAAAATGCATTCCCCTGACTCTTCTCACTTTCCTAAGGGTAATGGCACTGTTTTGTTACTCTGTTCACCTAAATAGAGCTGTACTAATGAGTGATTCTAAAAGGCTTTAAGATGGTTAATATAATTGGCCTCTCAATTAAATGCTTCTTTTCTTCTGAACCTCCACCAACTTATTCAAGCACTTCTGAAAGGCCATTGAAGTCATCCTTGAGGTCCCCAGGCTAAGTGGTTACAGAAATGGCAAGGTGTGTGCCTTTCTAGTACCTCACCCTCTGCTTGGTTTATGTCTTTTTATTGAAGTGGTAGGCAAGTTGAAAACATCACCAATGGATGGTTCTATTGGTGGACTGGTAAAATATCCAGATTATCAGTTTCTAATCATTTTGTGATCATGCGTTCTGTGGTGGGTTGAATAGTGCCTCCTAAAAAGAAATATCGAAATTTGTCTGAGCGCGGTGGCTCATACCTATAATCCTAGCACTTTGGGAGGCTGAGATGAGTGGATCACTTGAGGCCAGGAATTCGAGACTAGCCTGGCCAACGTAGTGAAACCCTGTCTCTACTAAAAATATAAAAATTAGCTGTGCATGGTGGTGCATGCCTGCAGTCCCTGCTACTCAGGAGGCTGAGGCATGAGAATCGTTTGGACCCCGGAGGTGGAGTTTGCAGTGAGCTGAGATTGTGCCATTGAATTCCAGCCTGGGAAGCAGAGTAAGACTCTCTCTCAAAAAAGAAAAAAAAAAAAAAGATAAAAGGAATATCCAAATGTTAACACTCAGCAATATTGAATATGACCTTACTTGGGGTCTTGGCAGATGCTATTAAGTTAATGATATCAAGATGAGATCATATTGGATCATCTGGGTAGTCCCTAAATCCAATGGCAAGTGTCCTCATAAAAGAAAAAGAGGAGCAGATACAGGAAGAAGAGAAGGGCATGTGAAGATGGAGGCAGAGGGTAGAGTTCTGTTGGAGAAAGTCAAATGCCTAGAGCAACAGGAGCTGGAAGATGTAAGTAAGAAAGGATTCTCCCCTAGACGCCTTGGAGGGAGCAGGGCCCAGCCAATACCTTGATCTTGAACTTCTCAAGTCCTCTTATTCTAGGACTATAAGATAATACATTTTTGTTGTTTTAAGCCATCACATTTGTGGTAATTTGGATATAACCTATGCACATCCTCCCGTATACTTTAAATAATCTCTACAATACTTCTAATACAATGTAAATGTTATGTAAATAGTTGTTACACTGTAATGTTTTATTTGTATTATTTTTATTGCTTTATTATTATTTTTAAGTTTTTAAAAAAATTTGAATATTTTCAACGCATGGTTGGTACAAAACCTGTGGATTAGGAGGGCCAGGACTGTGTTCAGAACTGGCCTTGCAGGTATTAGATACTTAACATAGAACTCTCATTGCAAGCCCTTTGGCAAATTGCTAATGTCAGAGAAGGCAAGAAATACCACTGGGGCATTTTTCAGAGCCCAAGGAGGCTTCACAATTAGACTAACAGCTTACAAGATAAGTTGAGTATAGCCAATTGAGAAGGATTGACCTAATTCTTCCTTCTTAATTACCTTAATTTTATGCATCCTGTAATTAATTGAATGACTTAGTGATTACAGCTGCTTTCTCTATGTTCAGCTAGGGATGAAAACAAGTTGCCATCAGAAACATAGGTGGATGGAGGAAAAGGAGAGATTAGGGAATGGGTCAGAGATAGGAGTCTGCACAAACTCTATGCTCCATAGTGATACAGAAATCACTGTGGTATTTTGCTTCTGAAGAATGTATATGTCTTCCTGGTAAGAGGAAAGGAAAGGGAATGCTCAGATTCTAGGACTAGAGTTTAACTTTGACATTTTGGGCCAGATATTATTGCAGGAGACAGCGGGGCTGTCACGTCCATTGTAGGATGTTTAGCAGTGTCTTTGCTCTGTCCACTAGATATCAGTTCTCCCACTAGATAACAGTCTCCACAAGTTATGACGAATAAAAATGTTTTCAGACATTGCCAAATATCCCCCTGGGGTCTTCCCTGAGAGAGAAGATCATCCCCAGATGAGAATAACTGGACTAGACTGTTGATGAGGTTAACCATTGGTTACAGGGCTGCTGTATGCAGCTACACAAGCTATGCAGTGACAATTTCACACAGCACCATTCTCACAGACTTCAATATTGTTGTGACAACTTATTTCAGATTTTTAAAAATATCTGCAACCCAAGGGTTTGGCCTTTAATGTTGAGGCTTTGTAGGCTAAGAACATGTACTTCTTAATTTAAATACAATGTAAAAATTTTGCAGAAGCTGTGTGCCCATCAGAATGTCTGATAACTTTAACTTCTTAGAAGATGAGCCACTGGGATCACATTGATCTCTGCCAGTGTTCTTGCCTTCCTCCCCACTATTGCCTAGACCTTATTACAGGTTGAGCATCCGAAATTCACAAAATAAATCTGAAACGCTCCAAAATTTAAAACTTTTTGAGTGCTAACATGATGTTCAAAGGAAATGCTTATTGTAGCATTTCGGATTTCAGATTTTCAGATTTGGGATACTCAATCAGTACAGTGCACATATTCCAAAATCTGAAAAAAATTTGAAATCTAAAACACTTCTGGCCCCAAACATTTCGATAAAGGAGTGCTCAACCTGTATCATCAGTAACTGTGTCACCTCTGAAATCTTTATTTCAAATATCTTACTCCCTGATTGCCAGCTTCTGTGCTCTTTGTCTTGATTCATCTAGTCCTCTCTCTACAACAATATTTTCACCCCAACTGGGTCTCCAATGCATTGACCTCATCATTTTACCCGACTATTCTTTTACCTACATTTGCCTTTTTACCCAGTTTAGACGCTCTTGTTCATCATGGTAATCATTCCCTTGTAAACATCCTCAATGACATTGCCTTTCTAGCCCTCTGATATGTTGGTATGGCTAAACCCAATTCAGATTGAATTTAATTATTTACCGTGTCTGAACCTGAATTTAAACAGATGAGCATTTGTACCCAAATGAAAAACACACATATGGTAGGGTGACCCATTGCAGCTTAATTTCAAGATGTCAGACTTCAAATGGACCTCACACTGCCTAGAATTTTCATCCTGGTAAGCATGGTTTCTCCTTGTCAGGACAATTCTTTCATACTTTACTCCCTCAGGTGTCTTACCATCCCTGTCCCCATATCTGATAACCTTGCCTGAACAAATAGAAGCAGGGGGGACTTTCTCATATACACATTATCAAATCCAGAACATACCTTTGTTTGGATCTATATTTATGTTTTCCATCTTTTCATTGCTTCTACCAAGGGTCAGTCTCCTGTGCTCTCGGTGCCAGAGACTGTAACTTCCTCAATGATTCACTTCTGTGGTTTCCCCTACCTCTGACAGCACAGTTTCTTCCTTTTAACCAAATTATTCCAATTGCATATGAATACACTGTGGGTTCTCACATTTTACATTGCCCTCCCATGATCCACATTCTACTTCTTCATCATCATATTTCTCTCTTCTTCTTCATAGTAAATAATCTTAAAGGAGTGTTCTGTATTCATTGCATCAGGTTCCCTGTCTTCCACTGTTTCTTTAATCTACTCCAATCTTGCTTTTACCATCATTACTTCTCCAAAACCTTTTCTGTGCATGATAATCCTGTTGCCAAAACAGGTGGACATTTCTTTGAACTCTTTTTTTCACCATTTACTATTGACCTCTTCTTGAAGCTGTTCTTTTGTTTTCTAGAATACCACTCTCTCTTAATATTCCTCTTGCCTCTTTAATCATCCTTTTTTGTCTTTTTGTTTACTGTTTCTTTCTTCTCAATCCTACCTTTAGTTCTTAGACTTCTCTACCTGTTGGTTCTGGATGATCTTCTCTGTCTACACATTCACATACAGTGACCTCATTCACTCCATGACTTTAAATGCCAAATGGACAAAGATGGCCCTGAAATTTATAACTACAATACTATATTCTTTCCTGTGTTCCAGATTTATATATCCAGCTGACTCTTTACTATCTCTAATTGGATATATTATAGGTATGTCAAATTCACGTTTTCAAAACAATGTTTTAAAATTTCTCTTTTTTCTTCTTTCAGGTTCCTCTTCAACACTTTCTCATCTTAGTAATTGACACCCTCAACCCACTCAGCTACTCAACCCAAGAACCCAGAAGTCAACCTTGATTTGTTACTTACTTTCATTCCCTGCATATAATTCTTCAGCATGACATTTCATTCTGTTTCTGAAATATATCTTCTTTCCCTTGTCAAAAGGGACCAATACCAGACATTTATTAAAGTTGGCAAGACAGATTTTATTCAGACTACTTCAACAGGGGAGAGAGACACAGTATACACTGAGCTCAACTCCAGCTAAGACAAATGTGACAGAGGGTTTTAAAGGGAAAACAGAGAAAACACAAAGGAGCTCTGGGGAAGTAAAAAGGAGGAAATAAAAAAAAAGATTAAGGGAGCTGTGGAGCAATAGAAAATTACAGAGGGCAGTACGTGAAGAATTACTGAAAATGGTTTGGGATTGTGGGTTGGAACAATGTATATTTCATGGTTTGGTGGCATTGTGTGTCACCTTAAGGGACATGGTATAGTGCAGGTGGCAGCCAGGCTAAAGTTTGGTCACGTCTCTTAGCACAATGTTTAGGCAAATCCTTTGTGCTGTGTGGAAGTTCATACCCTCTTCACTGTTACCACCTTGTCTGTCATCTGTCATCTGATCTTTTGAAAGGGCCTCTTCAGTGGTCTCCTTGCACCTATTTTTGCCCGATATAAACAAAATTGTGTGTTAATTATGGAAATGCAAGTCAAAACCACAATGATGTACCACTTCACACCCACTAGAATGGCTATAATAACAAATAAAAATAAAGACATAACAAGTATTGGTGAGGATGTGGAGAAATTGGAAACTTTATACATTGCTGGTGGGAGTTAAATGATATAGCTACTTGGAAAACGTCTCAGCAGTTTCTTAAACATAGAGTTACCATATGACCCAGCAATTTCATTCCTAGATAACTACCCAAGAGAAAGAAAACATGTGTTCACACACACACACAGAGTACCCAAATGTTATTGTCTGTTTACTATGGATCACAGAGGGGCTCTGTTTATTGCAGTCACTCAGGGATCTAGGATGATGAAGCTGCCATTGATCTCAACAATTGTTAGTTGTTATGCTACAGGGAAAACATCCTCTGGCAGATCTTGTATCAGCAGTTGATACTCATTACTTCTACTTATAATTTAGAGGCTAGAACTAGTCATGTGTCCCCATCTAATTCAAGAACAAGGAAGAGCAATCCTACATTGTGCCTGTGAGGTAGGAAACCAGAAATAGTCAGTGAACATGTGAATGACTGTTCACTTCCCCACTCCAGGGCCTGCGACCTTGCTGTTCTCTCATCTTGGTATGATGTTCCTTCACCTCTGCACAGAGCTGGCTCCTTTTCATCCTTTGGTTCTAGAATTTCCCTTAGAGAACTTCTGTGGTAAGTCATTTCCAAGCAGTGCCTTAATTTTCTCCCCATTTCTTTTGAGCTCTTTATCCCATCCTCCAATATGTTATTATAATCCTGCTTATGTCATAATCTAAAATTATTTGTATATTTCTTTGCTTATTTTTTATTGACTATTCTCCTTAGAATGTAAACTTTTTGAGGTTGTAATTTGTATTCTTCTCGTATTCAATTCCTGAATCTCCAACATTTAAAACAATGCCTAGCAAGCTCATAATAGAAAATCAATAAATATTCATTAAATAAATGAATGAAGATGCTTTCTTACCTTTCTAGCATTTTTCATGCTGTTCCTTCTTCCTTTCTCAGACAAAATACTATGCATTATCTAATGTTCTAAGCTTAATGTCATCCTCTCCATAAACCCTTCCCCTAGTCATAGGGGTAATTTTGAAGTGAACCATGCTCTCATAAAATTTTACTTATTCCTTTTTGGATACCAGATACTCTGTCTTGCATCTTTGTAGTTGTATGCATGACTCTCCACCATTTCCTATTCCACATCTTGGATTAGATTTATATAGCCTTAATACAAAGTATTATACCTTACGAATGTTTTATGTCCCAGTACCAAGCCTATTCAACAAATATCTACCAACCAACTGTGTTCTAGGAAATATTCTAAATGCTGGGGATACAGTAGTGAAGAGCCCTGGGGGCACTTATTTTCTACAGAGGCACACAGAACAACAAACAGATAAATATATAACTAGAAGTGATAAGCACTTTGAATAAAATTAAAGTAGGATAAATGGGACAGACAGTGAAGAAGGAGTGGTTAATTTAAAAATGTTGGTCAGAGAAAGTTTTTCTGAGATGTGATACTTGAATAGAGCTCTGCATGAAATGAAGATGCAAGCCATCCATGCACCTGGGAGAAATATGTTACAGGTAAGCTCAACAGCAAGTGCAAAGGCCGTGATAAATAAGCCAGAAGTAGCCTAGTGTAACTCATATGCAGTGGGATGGGGGAGAAGGCAGAGGGTTGTTGGGACCACATTTTACATTGTAGGCCATGCAGTGGGTCTGGGTTTTGTTTTAAATATGTTGGCATGCCATTAGTAGATTTTGAACAGATTAAGGTGGTTTAAAGCATCAAATCAACCAGGAGGGTCTCCTCCGTGGAGAACAGTCAGAAGTGGGGGCAGCAAGAGTGGAATAAAAAAATAAAAACCGGTTAAGAAGCTATTTGATAGACCAGGTGGGAGAAGAAGGTAGCTTGGATTAGAGTGTAGTGCAGAAATGTTTGAGAAGTGGTCAGAAGGTGAGAGTGGTATTCAGGGAGTCAAGAAAGAAAGTGTTTCAATAGAGAGGAGAATTTTAAAAAATCAATGCTGCTGAGAAGTTGAACAAGAAGAGGATAAATAATTGATACCTGGAGGTCATTGGTGAGCTTGATGAGAGTGGCTTTCCTGGAGCAATGGAAAGAAAAGCCTGAGTGAAGTGATTCCAAGAAAAGGTGGAATATGAGGATGTGGAGACAGAGAATATAGATTGATGCAATTTTGCTAGTAAAAAAGAAGCATATACATGAGAGGGGATTATAAGGATTATAACGTGAAATGAATAATTACTTAAAGTATTAACATATTATTTTTAAAACAACACACAAAAGATAGGAAGAAATTGACTTATTATTCTCCTCTCTCCATTCCATTAACTTCTCCCTATGCTCAGGGAAAAGAAAGACCTTCTGTATGGATGGGGACAAAATGGACTCTGGGGAGACCAGCCAGGCCACTTTGCTTAAAGTAAAGGCTCTAGAGGGAGGCACGGGGGAAAAACAGTAGAAACACACTGGGGCAAAGGCTCTCTCGTCCGTTTTAGGATCTCTCTCTCTCTGTCTTGCCTATCCTTTCTTGGCCCTGACATTGTTTTCTCCCATTTTGGGTTTCTGCCTAGTGCTTCTGAATTTTAATTTCCCGAAAGCCAGTTGTCCTGGCAAGAATGCCTTGTTGCAGATGGAAAAGGTGGGGGTAATCAAAATAATGAAAATGAAAGCTATAACAAAGTCTAATTGTTTTATATTAAAAAGATGAATCAATTCTGTTTTTTACCTCCAATATTTTTCCTCATCAAAGAAATAAGGCTTTAAAAATGGAATCAGGTTGTGGACCTAGAAGAAAAAACGACAGAAAAACAAAAAGCAAACAAAAAATCACTTGACTGTTTTTAGTGTATACCAGGGGTCAGCAAACTACAACCCACAGGCCAATCTGTTTTTGTAAATAAAGTTTTGTAAATCTGCCATCTGTTTTTGTAAATAAAGCTTTATTGGAACACAGCCATGCTTATTTATTTTCATATTGTCAATGCCTGCTTTTGTGCTACAATGTCAGCACTGAGTAGTTGTGACAGAAAGTATATGGCTGTAAAAGCCTAAGATATTTGCTATCTAGCTCTCTATAGAAAATGTTTGCTAACTTCCTCATTTACACTAACATTTCCCAAAATGTGCCCTCAGTGACATTACCTCAGTGGGGTACCATGAGCACACAGGATTGGAAAATTTCAAATTAAGTGAGGGTAAGCAAATTTATTCAATGTGTAGGACTCATGGAGGCTTACATGTGCCACTATGAATTATGAGTCTCTAAAAGGAAGGTAAAGTGTTCTTTGTAGGCTTAAAGATAAGATCTTAGGGCAATTAGGAGGGGAATTTAGTTCTGAATTCTAAAAATGCCTAGATCCTGGCCTGGAAGACACCTCTTCTTTTCATAGAATTCTGGATAAGTAAAATCTATAAGGAAAAACCATTTTATTAATAGTTCTTCAAGTAGCCAATGCCCCAATATAGGGCTCCCCTGTAAATGATAATGTTAAAACACATAATATGTAATTTAAGGCATACAAGGGGCTTCCTATCTTCCCCTGGTTTAAGTCTTTAAATATTACTATCTCATGCCAGGCTCATGGATAAAGGAAGCTGAGTAAATGGATGGAGAGCAATATGGCAGAGGTCTTCACCGGCCTTGGTCTAACTTATGTATCTGGAGGAGAGAGAAAGAAGAGACAACAATCAGCCACATCTGCACAGAAACAGCTGTGTAAATGGATGTGTGGGAGAGCACTGCAGCCTTGTTTATGCTTTTAAGACACAGTGATTGCATCGAATCATCATTACAGTCCAGTCACTATCCCAAAACTCTGAATAATATGATATGTAATTCTTCCTTCTTTACTGCTGACAGACAATTAAAAGGCATGAGCAAAAGTAACAGGCACAGTAACAGGATGCTGTAGTACATTCTTTCCCTACAGTTTGCTGACGTTCCCTAACTTATCTGAATTCAATATCCTTTGTTTTTCACAGAACTCATAGTGAGACCAATCTTCTGGAAACAACCCACTCGATTTTTAGTGGGCATAAGAATTTACTGGAGATTTTTGATTAATACTAATTCCCATCACAGTACTCCAGCTGAAAGATTGCATTTCAGCAGACTCAGGAGCCTGCATTTTTTTTTTTAAACTCCCACTTGGTTCACAAACAGGTAGTCCACTGGTCATAATTTGAGAAACAATGGTCTCAACGTTAGCTGGAGAAGCAAAAGGAGTCCTTAAGCTGTTGCGTAGTTCTGCCCTACTCAGTAGAAAAGGCTGGAGTAAAACTCCAGGCTGATAACTACGCTTGAGTTAAATCATGCTACCTATCATCTTTGGAAACCTCTGACACAGATAAGGAGTTGGCCTAGACTTTTAGTTTGAAATTTTGGCAAACTGAACTCTCTGAGACATGACTCATAAACCAGATCTAGAAAACCTGGAGAGTCTGAAAGATTGTAGGGGCCCTTTGTGTGTCAGAATTGATTGAATCATTTACATAAGGAAACAATAGTTGGAGGACTTTTTAGGGTTACACTCAAGAAAGATTAAAATTCAGTTTTCTGTGTTATTTAAATATGCTGTCTGGAAATTTATAGTATCTCCCTTTTTGTAAGTCACTGATAACATTAAGAATGGTATAGATGACATGAAAGATCTTGCATGGTTTGCAGGCAGTTTTCAAGAGAAATAAAGACTTATGAGAACAACTCAAATTAAGCTGTCTGAAAAGGGAATGAGCTGCCTTGGTAGCCAGCAAACTTACATAATGAAAAAATGTACAAGCATAAGATAGATTGTAGAGGGAATTCAAATATCTCACCAGTTCTAAGGTTCTATATTTTAAAGTTCTAAATTTTAAAATTCTTACCAGCTCTGAGATTCTGAGTCTGTTATATAATCATTTCATACCTGTTTTTTGGATGACAATGCCAATTTTACATTTTATTTCAGTAAATATAACTTACATGTCCACTTGGGGGTAGTAAAGTATTTTTTCAATATCTCTAGGGAGTCTTCAGCATTTCCTTTGCACATCCATTAGATGCAAGTAAAAATAGTACCAACGAGATGTTGTACTATTTCTTTCAGTTTGTAAATTACAGTTTCTTCCGGTGCATACGTAAACACAGTAGAAATTATGGGCAATCAGGTTTTATTTTATTTTTCTATTTTTTCTTTTTCTGCAATGCCCAGAGAATTAAAGACATACAAATTAAAGTGGTTTTATCAGCAGCAAATATGCCCAGAGTAGGTCCAGGCTGAATGACATTAAAGTTAATTCTACAATGGTCCCATTACATTTAATTTAATTTAATTCAAAATAAAACAGTCCCAAGGTGGCTTGAAAGTTTCTGTGTTGTAAAGATATGCCAATACTTGAGTTCTTCTCCTCCTCCTAAATAATTTCAAGATTATTAAATTTTTACTGTAACAACAGTAACTTAAATTACACCAATACCCAGTGGCTTAAGACAACACTTTTTAAAAAATTATTATTTCACACTTTCTGTGGGTAAGAAATCCAAGTGTAGCTTAGCTGGGTGTCCCTGGCTCTGGGTCTTTCACGAGACTATGGTGAAGGTGTCCACTGGGGCTGCAGACACCTTATGGCTTAACCAGGGAAGGGTCTGCTTCCAAGCTCACTGGCAGCTGGTTTCTTCAGAGAGAACTGTCCAAGAGAGGGAGAGAGAGAGAGGGAGGTATGCCCAGGAGAGAGGTCAGTCTTTTTGTAACCTATTCTTGAAAGTGACATCCTGGCTGGGCAGCAGCAGTGGCTCACGCCTGTAACCCCAGCACTTTGGGAGGCCGAGGTGGGCAGATCACGAGGTCAAGAGTTCGAGACCAGTCTGGCCAACATGATGAAACCTCGTCTCTACTAAAAATACAAAAATTAGCCGGGTGTGGTGGTGGCACCTATAATCCCAGCTACTCAGGAGGCTGAGGCAGGAGAATCATGTGAACCCGAGAGGTGGAAGTTGCAGTGAGCTGAGATGGCGCCACTGCACTGCAGCCTGGCAACACAGTGAGACCCGGTCTAAAAATAAAACAAAATAAAAAGAACGTCCTGTCCTTTCTGCTATATTCTATTCGTTAGTAAAAAGTCAGTAAGTCCAGCCCACACTCAAGGAGAGAAATTACACAAGAATGTGAATACCAAAAAGTGGGGATCATTGCAGGGGTCCATGTTGTAAGCTGCCTAACATAGATATAAATTTTACAACTAAAGAGTTTTAAATTATTTCTCATTTGAAAAGTTATTAAGGTAATATTCTTGGTTAATCGGATTTCTATTTTACGGGCAGGGAAACAAGAATGTGTCTTGCACTGGTAGTCAGCAGACATAGGTGTCAGTTCTTTCTCCGAGTTGAGCAGCTGCAACACCTCAGGCACATTATGCAAGTAATGAATCTTGATTCCTCTGTCATTGAAGAAAGGCAGTTTGAGTACACTCTTTAAGATCCTTTCTAGTTTGGAAATTCTTTTTCAACAAAAAATCAAATTCCCTTCTAAGAACATCTAACTGTCTTTCCTCTAGACCAGAGTTTCTCAACCTCAGCACTATTGAAATTTTGGGTCAGATGATTTTGGGGGCCATCCTGGACGTTGCAGGATGTTGCACTGAAACCCTGGCCTCTACCTACCAGACATCAAAAGACAATCAAAAATGTCTTCAGACACTGGAGACTGAATCTAACATGCAAATATAATTTCCTTTTCTATAATATCTTGATTTTTTTCCATCAAGAAAAAAATCTATAAATCAATACACAGGTGTTAATAACTTAAATGTATTTTTTTTTTTTTTTTTTTTTTTGAGACGGAGTCTCGCTCTGTCGCCCAGGCTGGAGTGCAGTGGCGGGATCTCGGCTCACTGCAAGCTCCGCCTCCCGGGTTCACGCCATTCTCCTGCCTCAGCCTCCCAAGTAGCTGGGACTACAGGCGCCCGCCACTACGCCCGGCTAATTTTTTGTATTTTTAGTAGAGACGGGGTTTCACCGTTTTAGCCGGGATGGTCTCGATCTCCTGACCTCGTGATCCGCCCGCCTCGGCCTCCCAAAGTGCTGGGATTACAGGCGTGAGCCACCGCGCCCGGCCTTAAATGTATTTTTTAATTTAAAAGATAAGTGATCTTTTGAGGTAGAAAATCATGGCCTGGAGGTGAGAGGGTGTTTCTAGTGACTGTGTCAGGAATTGGGGGTGGGGAAGACACACTATTCATACTAAGCATGAATCATGCAGACTCACAGAAAATGAAATGACTAGAGAAAAATCTCTAGGAGCCACAGAAGCAATTGTGTGAAAGTATGTGTGAGTTACTGTGATGGATACTTGTTTAAAAATTTTATTTTACTTGAAGTTCCGGGATATATGTGCAGGACATGCAGGTTTGTTACATAGGCAAATGTGTGCCATGGGGATCTGCTGCACCTATCAACCCATTACCTAGGTATTAAGCCTCACATGCATTAGCTATTTGTCCTGATAACTCTCCCTGCCCCATCCCCCTGACAGGCCCCAGTGTGTGTTGTTCCCCTCCCTGTGTCCATGTGTTCTCACTGTTCAGCTCCCACTTATGAGAGAATATGCAGTGTTTGGTTTTCTGTTTCTGTGTGAGTTTGCTGAGGATGATGGCTTCCAGCTTCATCTGCGTCTCTTCAAGGAGCATGTTCTCCTTTTTTTAATGGCTGCATAGTATTCCATGGTATATATGTACCACATTTTCTTTATCCAGTCTATTGTTGATGGGCATTTGGGTTGATTTCATGTCTTTGATACTGTGAATAGTGCTGCAATAAACATATGTGTGCATGTATCTTTATAATAGAATGATTTATATTCCTTTAGGTATATACCCAGTAATGGGATTGCTGGGCCAAGTGGTATTTCTGGTTCTAGATCCTTGAGGAATGGCCACATTGTCTTCCACAATGGTTGAACTAATTTACATTCCCACCGACATTGTAAAAGTGTTCCCGTTTCTCCACAGCCTTGCCAGCACTTGTTTTTTGACTTTCTAATAATTACCATTCTAACTGGCATGAGATAGTATCTCATTGTGGTTTTGATTTGCAATGATCAGTGATGTTGCGCTTTTATTTGCATGTCTGTTGGCTGCATAAATGTCTTTTTTTGAGAAGTGTCTGTTCATGTCCTTTACCCACTTTTAGATGGATTTTTTTTTCTTGTAAATTTGTTTAAGTTTCTTGTAAATTCTGGATATTAGACCTTTGTCAGATGGGTAGATTGAAAAAAAATTTCCCCATTCTGTAGGTTGCCTGTTCACTCTGTGAAGAATGTCAATAGTGGTTTAATGGGAATGGCATTGAAGCTATAAATTACTTTGGGCATTATAGCCATTTTCATGATATTGATTCTTCCTATCCACAAGGATGGAATGTTTTTCTATTTGTTTGTGTCCTCTCTTATTTCCTTGAGCAGTGCTTTGTAGTTCTCCTTGAATAAGTCCTTCACATCCCTTGTTAACTGTATTCCTAGGTATTTTATTCTCTTTGTAGCAATTGTGAATGGGAGTTTATTCATGATGTGGCTCTCTGCTTGTCTATTGTTGATGTATAGGAATGTTTGTTATTTTTGCATATCGATTTTGTGTCCTGAGACTTTGCTTAAATTGCTTATCAGCTTAAGGACCTTTTGAGCTGAGATGATGGGGTTTCCTAGATATAGGATTATGTCATCTGCAAACAGAGACAATTTGACTTCCTCTCTTCCTGTTTCAATATCCCCCCCCTTTTTTTTTTCTTGCCTGATTGCCCTGGCCAGGACTTCCAATACCATGTTGAATAGGAGTGGTGAGAGAGGGTATCCTTTTCTTGGGCCGGTTTTCAAAGGGAATGCTTCCAGCTTTTGCCCATTCAGTATGATATTGGCTGTGGGTTTGACATAAATAGCTTTTATTATTTTGAGATATGTTTTTGTTCTGTGATGGTTAATTTTATGTGTCAACTTGACTGGGCCACAAGACACCCAGACATTTTGGTCAAACGTTAGTGTGGGTGTGCCTGTGAGGGTGTTTCTGGATGAGATTAACATTTAAATTCATCTGAATGTTAGATTGAGTAAAAGAGATTGCCCTTCCTAATGTGAGTGGGCCTCATCTAACCAATTGAAGATCTGAATAGAACAAAAATGTTAAGTAAGAGAGAAGTTCTCCTGCTTGACTGCTTGGGATGGAACTTTGTTCTTCTGTCCTTGAACTGAAGCTTATACCATTGCCTTCCCTGGGTCTTTAGTCCTTAGACTCAAACGGGAATTACACCCTCATCTCTCCTGGGTCTCCAGATATCCAACTACAGATGTTGGGACTTCTCAGTTTCTATAATCATCTGAGCCAATCTTCCCTTCCTTCTTCCCTTCCTTCTTCTCTTCCTTCTTCCCTTCCTTCTTCCCTTCCCCTCCCTCCCTCCCTCCCTCCCTCCCTTCCTTCCTTCCTTCCTTCCCTCCTTCCTTTCTCTTTCTCTCTCTTTCTCTCTTTCTTTCTTTCTTTCTTTCTTTCTTTCTTTCTTTCTTTCTTTCTTTCTTTCTTTCTTTCTTTCTTCCTCTCTCTCTCTCTCTCTCTCCTTCCTTCCTTCCTTCTTCTCTTTCCTTTCTTTTATTCCTTTCTTTTTTATCTATTTATCTATCACCATCATCCATCTATCTATCCATTCATTCATCCATCCTACTGGTTCTCATTCCCTGGAGAACCCTAAGGAGAGTTATGATAAGAGAAAATATGGTCATGGAAAACTTCTCGAAGAGACAAGTTGAGAAGAAGGTGGAGAGAAGAATTTTAGGTGAGTCACAACTTTTCTAAGAATCATATTGCAGAACCTGGCACTTTATAACACTTGAAGAGTTTTTCCATCTACCCTGGGTTTCTCCTGTTGCCATCCTCAGCTCATAGGCTCACAATTGATAAGGAATCGCTCCTTGATCAAACTGTAGTCAGGCTCCTTTGAGCCTTGTTTTTACTAGGCCTCTCTGTGGCTCCCATCTTTGGCCTGCTGAGGCCAGTTTTAGCTAGAATCCTACTAAGCTATTTTATAGACCTTGATATTCAGCCAGGCTTCTTTTCATGTGTTTTTTATCTAATCAACTCTCTCAGCCTCCTAATACCTAATAAAGTTCCTCTTGGCAATTTTTATTGTCTCCCTCACTCTGACTATAGGCTATAAATCCCCACTTGTTTCAGTCATATTTGGAGTTGAGTTCAATTTCTCTCACCTGTGGCACTAGTCTCTCCCCCATTGTAATTGTGTTGAATAAAGCTTGCTTGCCATTACTAACAAGTTTCCAGTGCAATTTTTTTTTCTTTTACACCATTAGGAAATGACACTCCAATAGGTAAAAATTATAGGGTGAAGTTTGAGACTGAATTCTAAGACCTTCTTTCAATTTCAGTCAAAGCATGATTTTAGACTTTTAAGAATCCCAGTGTGAGCCACCCAACAGTTACCTAGCATATTTTAAAGCTATGTCCTTCTGCTGTCAAGAATTTGGTTTGTGTATAAGGAATACAAGCTTTTTTTAAAAAGCTAATCAAATTAGATAGATAAACCTATTAATGAAATTCTCTTAAATGAGACCCAAAGATCATTATTACACATTGAAGAAGTATGCTTTTTTATATTATAATTTATTTTCTAAATTATACAGGCTATAGGTACTCCTCGTTCATTAAAGGTAGTGAGGTATGGAAGGAACCATGGGCCCAAGTCAGGATAAATCAGTCCTGATATGAACCTACTGACTCATTGTTTCATCTCAGACAAGCCATATTTCCTTTTTGTGCTTTAGAAAGTTGGTATAGATTTGTAGCTAAGAGCTGGCGGTCTAGACTTAGAACTAACTGGCAGAATTAAATCTCATCTCCAACATTTATTAGCTGTGTAACTGTGGGCAAATCACTTAAGTCCTCTGTTTCAATGTATTTTTGTTCTATGGGATGGGAATTATAATAGTGTCCATCTCTTGGTAAGGTTAAAATAGATCATAAATGTAAAGCTCTTAGTAGAGTAGCTAGAAAAGTCTCAATTAACATTACTGATACATAAAAAACTGTTGAACTAGATAATCCTGAAGGCTCCTTCATTTTCTAAATGTCTATAAAATTCATAATGTACATAGGGGTTTAAAATAGGCTGCATGTCTGTATTGAATCAGGGCCACAGCTAAGAAGAGATAGTGAAAGAATGACTGTAAATTTCCTTTCAGTCAGTAATCTGAAAACCGTATAATGTATTTATTGTGCATTTCCACATACTAAAGAAAAAGAGTCTTCAGCTAAGTAGAGGAGAATGTGGAATATTTGCATCTTTTTACAGTGAATCCTGTGGGATATTTAAAAACAGATGTATACAAAAGATAAGTAGATCTGTTGCTATTTTCTGCACTAATATTAATGGACAGCATTCCACAGTAATACTTCCACTGTAGGTTAATTACAAAATGCTGATGAGGCTTTCATGTCATAATTAGCATGCTTCAGCCTATTTTATCTGGTACCTCTGGGTCAAATATCTGGTCCATTGACTATTTTTTTCAATGAGTTAACCACAACTTTAAGTGGCCTATAATTATAACAGTGTTATTGGCATTTATTCTAAAAACAAATCACATATATTACAACAAGATGGCAGAATACCAGCATATTAATAGCTAGTGGTGTGCTGATAAGCCAGCTAGCTGGGAGAGGAAAAAAGCCCTGATTTGTGGTGTTTGCCAATTTCTGCAATACAAATATTTTCACCGTGACTGATTTCAAGCTATCAATCATTTGACAACAGGCCTGCAAAAGTCCTAAATATTTAACAATAAGCTTTTATAAGCCAGTCCAAGCCAGTACCAGCACACTACTGAACCACTGATACTTTTACATACTGAATTCTTATGTTGGAATAATGTTACTTCTTTAGCTGTCCCACAAATATGTTCATTCAATTAAAATTCATCCATTAGGAGAGTATCTTTATGTAAGACTTAAGTGCACTTTACAATAGAGGTTATAATAATTTGAGTCACAGACTACTTTGAGGAGCTAAGCAAGGCTATATACATTTTCTCTCCAAGGGGGGAAAAGTACTAAGAATTTTGAATATAATTTCAGGAGATTCTTGGATCTCCTTACATTTGTTCATGGGTGTCAGCTTTAAAACGCCTGCTATTTCTTTGAGCTAGAGAAACTAATGTGACAGGCAACATTCTGAATGTCATTGCTTCAGTTCACTAAGCTTATAGATTACTGGAGTGCTAAAAAGTCACTATCTCATTGCAAAAGAGTTAAGTTACCAATACAGTCATGTGTCACTTAGTGATGAGGATATTTTCTGAGAAACGCATCATTAGGCAATTTTGTTATTGTGCAAACATCATACACAAAACTAGCTGGTATAGCCTACTACACACCTAGGCTATATGGTATAGCCTATTGCTCCTAGGCTACAAATCTTTACAGCATGTTCTTGTACTGAATACTGTAAATAACTGTAACACGATAGTAAGTATTTTTGTATCTCAACATATCTCAACATAGAAAAGTTACAGTAAAAATGTGATATTATAATCTTATGGGACCACCTTCACATATTAGTCTGTGGTCTACTAATGACTGAAACATTGTTATGCAGCACATGACTATATTTTATTAATCATGTTTACTGTGTGGACTCTTCTATCATTATTCTAAAACTCAGAGATCACAAGGAATTCATAAAAAGATCATGAGGTCAATTTAATTAACCTCATTAGAAGCATTAAACAATTTAATTTTGTTTTCTCCCTTTGTTCTATGAATTTTATATGAACCATTACATAAGCTAACTCTAGAACTTGTGATATTTTAATTTTCATTTTGAAATACATACTTCCTATATGTATATATGTACATGTGTAGATGTATGTATAAACAAAAACTCAGCCAACATTATTTTATTCTTTTTTTTTCTTTTTGAATCTTATTTCCTCCTGACTAGGTCAAATCCCTTTTTCATATGGTGCCAAAGTACTTGTATTTATATTTTGTGGCACACTTCACAATCAGATTTAAGCAATTATTGTTGTCATGGTTTTCAGAAATAATAATCTCTTCTTCTAGACATCAACTTTCAAGGGCAGGAAGTTTATAACCTGGCATGATGCACATCTCCTAATGTCACCAAGTGAAGATGTGTTTAAAGGAAGAATTTATGTGTAAATAATTAGCTGATACAAGTTTTTAAAAGAAAAAGATAAATGAGGAGAAAACAAAAAAGGACCAAAGTTTTAGTCAAGCAGTCAAATTGCTAGCTTTAGTTTTAGTGTGTTTCTCTTTCTATCTATTCACTGACAACAGCAGCATTTTTAGTCCTGGTAATCGGGAGGTGATGTTAATTTGATGTTTAAGGGTTAATAGATTATCATTCAAGAATATCTCTACTTTAAAAGGCAAGTAGAAAATTAATTTCTCCTCCATTTTTGAGGTTTTGTTTTGCAGAGCCTTTTCAACTCAATCCTCGAATGACCACAGAATTCTGCCCACTAATGTAAACCATCATGAGAGAATTCTGATTTATTAAAACTGGGTTGCAATTAGCAGAGTTTCTTTGTTTGTTTTAATGTTGAGTATCTGAATATGACTATTAAATTAACAAATGATGATGTCAGAGACCAATACCCCCATTTATCATTGGAATCATTCATTCAACTTATGAACAATTCAGAGGCTAAATGCTGGAACTTTTGTGTTTCAGCATCAGTAACTCCTGAGATTGGGAAGGGCCTTCTTGTACCATAGGGACAGCAGGCATATCATTATAATCACAAGTGATTGGTTGGCCAACTGAAGGTCAGGTATCCCTGTCAGAAACCTAATCTTAGTCTTTTGTCTCTTAATATGGTTCCATTTGAAATTGTTGCTTAACTCAATACATTGAAATATGAAGCCAACTCACTTTATCACATATTTATTGAACATCTACCATTGTGATAGATATATTGCCATTGTTCCAACAACAGAAAAAATGAATACCAGATACATCATGTCTTTGACAAATTTACATTCTGGCAAAGCAAGAACATAAATCACTGAAATAAAAAGCAGAGTGAAGAAAAAGCTTAAGAGACATAAACTGACAGAGAAGTCAGATACAATATCTATTTGAATAAATCAAGCAAGGCTTCATGGAGGAAGCACCACACTGAGATGAACATTGAAGGATGAGTAGGATAGAAACAGATGGAGATTGGAGATGAAGTGGGCCTTCTACGCATGAAGATCTGCAGCTGGGAAAAACTGTGGGATGCATTTGCATAAGAACAGCAAGTAATTCCATTTGAATAGAGTATACATTACTTGTGATGGTATAATGGAAAATTATTCTAGGAAGTAGTTTTGTCCATATTACATGTGTGAAGAGTATTATGTAAGTAATAAAAGACTGAGTAAGTAAAAGTTATGGGTTTGAGACCAATTGTTGCCATTTGACTTGTCTTTATTCCAAGATAGTAGACCATACTTCCATCTATACTATATGAAATTAGACATTAGAAATCCAAGTCTAGACTAATTTATGAAAATAACTAAGCTCCTGTTTGGTATAGTTTATGCTTCTTTTGACCTTCCACCGCAGCCCCTCCCTCTTCTCATTCTTCTCTAAGTTGAACTTCTTAGTTTGGATCCAATTCCTAATGAGAAATGGCTGATAATGACTTGGCGATTGGGGTGGTAGAGATAATCATTCTAAGGAGCATTCTCATATTATAAGGGGGAACTCTTAAAGTAAAATGCTGTAGGACTGTAAGGAATCACATTATAATGGCAGTATATGAGGCAGTAGGTAAATACAGGCGTGCCTCAGAGATACTGTGGGTTCAGTTCCAGACCATTGCAATAAAGCGAGTCACACTTTTTGTTTAGTTTCTTAGTGCATATAAAGGTTATGTTTACACTATATTGTAGTCCATAATAGCATGAAGTTTTAAAAATGTATATAACTTAAAAATATTTTGTGGCTAAAAAACAAAAATGATAATGTAAACTGTCAGTGAGTCAATCTTTTTGCTAATGAAGGATCTTGTCTCAATGTTGACAGCTGCTGACTGATGAGGGTGGTGGTTGCTGAAGGGTGGGGTGGCTGTGGAAATTTCTTAAAATAAGACAACAATAAAGTTTGCTGCATCCAATGACTTCTACTTTCATGAAAGATTTCTCTGTAGCATGCAATGCTGTTTGATAGCATTTCACCCACAAGAGAACTTCTTTCAAAATTGAAATCAATCCTCTCAAACCCTGCAGCTCTTTTGTCAGCTGTTTATAGAATATTCTAAATCCTTTGTTGTCATTTCAACAACGTTCACAGCATCTTCACTAGTGGTAGATTCCATCTCAAGAAATCATTTTCTTTGCTCATCCATAAGAAGCAATCTCTAATTTGTTCAAGTTTTATGATGAAGTTGCAGCAATTCAGTAACATCTTTGGGCTGAACTTCCAATCCAGTTATCTAGCTTATTCTACCATATTTGTGGTTACTTCCTCTACTGAAGTCTTGAACCCCTCAAAATTACTCATGAATGTTGGAAGCAACTTCCTTCAAACTCCTGTTAATGTTGGTATTTTGACTTCCTCCCATGAATCACTAATGTTCTTAATTGCATCTAGAATGGGGAATTCCTTTCAGAAGGTGCATTTTACATTGTCCAGATCCATCAGAGGAATCACTATCAATGGCAGCTACCATCTCATGGAAATGTATTTCTCAGAGTTGAAATTATTCCTTGATCTATGGGCTTCAGAATGACTGTTGTGTTCACAGGCATGAAAACATTAATATCCTTGTACAATTCTATCACAGCTCTTGGGTGAATAGGTGCATTATTCATAAGCAGTAATATTTAGAAAGGAATCTTTTTGTTGAGCAGTAGGTCTCAACAGTGGGCTTAAAATATTCAGTAAACCATGCTGTAAACAGATGTGCTGTTACCCAGGTTTTGTTTCCCCATTTATAAAGCACAGAGTAGATTTAGCATAATTCTTAAGGGCCCTAGGATTTTCAGAATGGTGAATGAGCATTGGCTTCAACTTCAGGTCACCAGCTGCATTATCCCCAAACAAGAGAGTCAGCCTGTTCTTTGAAGCTTTGAAGTCAGACATTGACTTCTCTTCTTTAGGTATAAAAGCCTTAGTTAGATGGCATCTTCTTCCAAGATAAAACTGTTTCATCTGCATTAAAAATCTTTTTTGTTTTTCTGTAGCCAACTTCATCAATTATCTTAGCTGTAACTTCTGGATAACTTGCTGCAGCTTCTACATCAGCACTTAATGTTTCAGTTTGCACTTTTATATTATAGAGAATGGCTTTTTTCTTTAAACCTCATGAACCAACCTCTGCTAGCTTCCAACTTTTCTTCTGCATCTTTCTCAGCTCTCTCTGTCTCCATAGAATTGAAGAGAGTTAGGGCCTTTCTCTGAATTAGGCTTTGGCTTAAGGGAATGTTGTGGCTGGTTTGATCTTCTATCCAGACCACTCAAACTTTCTTTGTATCAGCAATGAGGGTGTTTTGTTTTCTTACAATAATTTATGTGTTCACTAGAGTAGCATTTTTAACTTTCTTTAAGAGCTTTTCTTTTGTATTCCAAACTTGGCTAAAAGCTACAAGAGGCATAGATAGCTCTAAGCCTATCTCAGTTTTTTTACATCCTCACTAAGCTTAATCCTTTCTAGCTTTTGATTTAAAGTGAGAGACTTGCCGCTCTTCCTTTCACTTACACTTAGAGGCCATTGCAGGGTTCTTAATTGGCCTAATTTTAATATTGTTTTGTCTCAGGGAATAGGTAGGCCCATGGAGAGGGACCAAGATGGGGAATGGCTGGTGGGTGGAACAGTCAGAACAACACAATATTTATTAAGCTCTCCATCTTCTATGGAAGCAGTTCATAGGTTTCCCAAAATAATTACAATAGTAATATCAAAGATCACTGACCACAGATCACCATAAGCACATATAATAATAATCAAGTTTATTGCGAAAATTATGACAATTGATACAGAGACATGAAGTGAGCACATGCCTTTGGGAAGAAAGATGCCAGCAGATTTGCTCAACAGCATTGCCACAAACTTTCAATTTTTTTAAAAGTGCAATATTTGAGAAGCACAATAAAATTCAGCACAATAAAACAAGTTATGCCTGTAGACTGCTGCCAAGGGACACTGATGTTGGCTTCTCACATCATATAAAGTAGAACAGCACGTACATGTCTTCCTTCTGTGGCTCACAGTGGCCATTGGTAGTAGGAGTGACAGCCTGACTCGGAACGTAGATGACTCAGGACGAACCATTTCCATTAATGGAAATTAATCAAGGTATAGGTGCCATGCCTTTCCAGTCACGTTCTTGGCATGAACTAGTGAAGGGGCATGAGGCAGTTAGGATAGTGGAAAGATAACTAAAAATCAGGCAGTCTTGGGTTTTGAAACCAGATCTAACTCTCAGTTTTCACGTTTATTAAAAAAAAAAAAACTAGCAATGGGTACATGAGTTGTAAGAGCCATTCTACCTCTCTAATATCATATGAGAAGGCATACATTATGGGATGTTCCTCTCTGAAGTTTTGAGGCATAGAGGAGAGTCAGCTCTGAAAGAATTCAGGTTTTGTTAAAGTGGAAGCTTTGATAGTTTGTTCTTGACATCTGTTCACTAGAGAGGGCTGCTGGGAGGTGAGAGTTGTGCATGGATGACTGACATGGGAATTGGGGACCTATATCTTCGGTCAGCTCCACAAAGTGGCATTCTGTCAGGAAGATGTTCCGCTGGGCAGGTGGCAACTGTGGGTCATGCTGGGAGTGCCACTGTTTGTGGAAAGAAGAGATCACATTCTGGAATGCTGCCTGGAAGCGGCGAGACAGTAGGTTATAGATAATGGGGTTGACAGCTGAGCTCAGGTAGAAGAAGACACCTGGAATGCAGGGGATTTAAAAAGATGTGCTGAGAAGAACTTAAGTGACCGGCATGAAGGAAGAAGCATAAATATTTACAAAGGCCTAGAATCCCTGTGATTGCCTCTTTTATAAGTGATAATACATACAAGCATCTAATTGAGAATACAAAATGCTCTGAATAGATCTTCCACCTGTGCACTTAGCCATCAAACACAAAGATTAAAGAGTCTTGGAGTAAGTTAGGCTGACATGGGATCTCTCTGAGATGTTCAGCAACTTTCTTTGATCACTACTTGTTTAATTAAAGAACATGTTTCTATAACATGACTGAAAGATGCTTAAATATCAGAGGGAAGAGAAACGTTTCTATCTCATTGGAATTTTACTTAAATCTATAATTTGGGATTGCAAGTAGTGGAAGAAGGTAAATCAGCCAAGGCTTAGTTCCTGCTGAGACTCCTTATAATGCTAAGATACGGCTTCAAAGAAATATTCCCTAGCGTGCTGTTCCTACCTACCCTTTTCCCTTGATGGTTCCTCCACCTTTTGAAGAATTGTATTTTACCATTTATTTCCTCTACCAATTAACCTTCACATTGTCATTTTCCTGTTTGGAATACACTCTTCCTTTATTGCCTTTTTAAATTTTATTTCTCTAAAGCCCAAAATCAGCCCAAGTTTGGGAATCAGAGGACCTAGTTTCTGATCTTGGCCCTCTAATATCCTGTGGCCTTAGACAAACCCTGGCACTTCAGTTTCTTTCTCTGTAAAATGGGAATGTGATTTCCAGCCTAACCCACCTCCCTGGATTATTGTGAGGGTAAAGTTAAGATACCATCCACAGAGAGGTTGAGAATGGCTAAGAATGTAAAACAAGTGATGGGTAATATTGCCAAAAGGTTCCTTGTTGTCCTTATTTATGTGGTTCAGAACATTCAGAATGCTATATGCCTTGTTTACAGAATAAACATGGAAGAATGTTAAAGGAGAATATTTCTATGCATTAATACTATTAGTTCATTCAAAAAATAAATATTGATTTAACTCTTATTATGTGCCATGAACTTCAAAGCACATTGGGAGGTAGTGAATTAGACTTTGTTCTCCAAGATCTTGGAATGGTACTGCAGAGACAAGATTTATGGCTAAGTTAAATAATTAACAATACAACAATACCAAGCAGTATCTGTTAAGAACAAATATGAGATAACAAATCATGCTATAGCAATTCACATAATAACAGAAACACAAGGACTGTGATAATCATAAAAGATTTAGTGGGGGGTGATTGAACTCTAGCCAGGCCTCAAAATGGGTAAGAGATAGTTGAGGAAGACAGGAGAGGGTGTTGCAGGTACAGGGTATATAGCACGCATAAGTATTCAGGGGCAGGAATGGCCATATTGTGCAGGAATAATGTGCAGAACTCTCTAATTACCAATTTGATAAGTATATGGTCTATGAATAAAAATAATAAAAGTTGGAGGATTAAAAGGCAAGTTGGGGGTATTTTCTGTAGGGTTTAAGAGATTTAGATTTAATCTAGTGGCTAATATAAAAGGGGGGAGATGGTATCTGAACAGGATCATGTCATTATTGAGGCTATAACTTGAAAATCTTAAGATAATTGCCTTGACGCATCCAGAGAATTGTAGTCAATTAGTCAAGTCTCATTTGACCTTGTAGTGCTTTCTCATTTATTTAAACATTTCTGTTTTCCGCAGATTAACCAAAAGGATAAACTAAGAGGTATACATATTTTTGAGCTTTGGTTGCAAATGGTTGAACAGGAAAGTGCTAATGTCCAGGAATAAGCTATACATTAGGCCTGCTGAGTACAAAAAAGAGGGTGACAGAAAATACATAGTATACACAATATTCAGTATAGATGTCATTGTTTCTGCTTTGTACACATCTGGAGCTTAACTTGTAAAAGGTGATCTTATCTTTCCTTTCCGGTGATGTCTTCTATAATCTAATGAGCCCATAGAATCAGCCGGTGACCAGGAGAGGTGGGGGGACAGAAGAGGTCTGAGCCTAAGGCTAACACTGAGTTAGCTGTCACTGACTGAGAAAGAAGAAACTAGGTGGTCATTCTTTGCTTCATTTTAGTAGAAAGAACACTGAACTTGAAGTTAGATGACTTGGGTGGGTTATTTGTTAGCTAAGTGCCTTAGGGCAAATCATTTCTTCTTGTGGAAGGGTTTTATTTTTGACTATACAATGTTAATCATAATATCCACCTAATGACCTTGTGATGATTATAGAAAGATATACAGCAATTACAGCTTAAAGAGCTCTTTAATGTCTATTATTGCATTTGCTCCTTACCATCAGTCCATGGTTTGTGTACAGGAGGCTTTTTTTTTTTTTTTTTTTTGCCATTTTACAGTTGAGGAAACTTTGGTGTGAAGGCAGCCACGTTCTCCAGATCACTCAGAATAGCAATGGTGAAATTGGGTTGCAAATCCAGGTCATCTGACTTACTGACCTTTCCACCATGGTTTCCACAATATACTATGGTATCCTCAACAAGCAGAGTTACAGTAGCCTAAAAGGAGAACTTGATTACCTATGAATACCATTTAGTTTTCCTTCATGAGGATATAATACTTCCCAAAGGCAATATGAGATTTCAGGGACATGGGTGTTTACTAAATAAGAACCAATTTAATTGCATGGCCATTTGGAGGATAACCAAAGGAATCACTCCTTGACCATTTTCCTTCTGTAATCATCACAGTTAGACTTGAGGTTTTCCATAAAGTAGCCTTGAAAATAGTGATCTGGTATATATGTATTTGGAACAGTATCAAACATAATCAATCTCTGAATAAAAGAAAAATCAAATGTCTTCATTATAGCATGGCAGATCCCCGTGATAAATTGGAGTACTTAGGCATCTAAGCAAGATGAAGAAGAAGGTGCTGTTACCTGAATACTAGTCATGCACCAAATCCAGCTAAGGTTTTACCTGACACCACATGGACGAGGTTGAACACAGCAGCCAGGGATTCACTCCACTCCTCCACAAAGCTGAAGAAGAGTCGGTCAATGTGGAACGGGGCCCAACAGATAGCAAACACTAAGACCAAGACAACTGAAAATGGATGATAAATGGGAGACCAGAAGACAGTCTGTGCAAGGATAGGTATACAATGCTCACTCTGAGTCAATCATTTCTTCTGGCAGTTTTTCCCTTCAACTTTGTTAAGCTATAACAGTTATAGAGGCAAACTAGATCCCAAAGAGTCTCAGTACAAAACACTTAAAACACAAGAATGAATTGTATAAGATCTAGGATCAGTTTTCCATAAGATTATACAAGATTTCTTATATAATGTAAAACTTTTTAGAACATTTAAAATAGTATTTAATTTATTTCAAAGTCCTGAAAACATCTTATTGTGAAAGATAAATAATAAACTGTTAAATGTGTATATAAATTCATCTTGTTGTTATAGGAATAATTAGAAGTTTCTCTGAATTCAATAATTTAAAATTCTGCAATGGGTAGGCAAGGAGAAAGAAGAGATCAAACAACCACAAGCCTAATAGTACTTTACAAGAATCTTTTGATTGGAAGGGGTGTGTCTGTCATATTATAAATTGCTACAGCACAGAATTCCTTCCCATCTCTTATTTTCACCTCCCAAAACAGAGACTGGTATTTCTGTAGTTTTTCTTTGGGGCATTTAAGCTCCACAAATTAAACACACACACACACACACACACACACACTTTTTTTTTTTCCTTTTGAAGTTGTAAATACTTTACTTTGCTATGACATGACTCTTGGGATTCGCCTAAAGATAATCTTTTGGGGCTAGGGGAGAGATAAGGGTATACATGAAACAAGATTAGCTATGAGGTAATACTTTTTGAAGCTGGGTGATGGGTACATGGGTATTCATTTTACAGTTTTCTGTACTTGTGTACAGATATGAAGTTTTCATAGTAAGCAGTATTATACATGCATTTCCTGTTGGCATTAAACACATTCAGAGTAAGTTGTTTGCCTGTGTGGTATGGTTTCAAAGATAACTATAGGTTTCTACTGAATTTGCCAACCCAAGAAAAGTCCCTAATCTGTTCACTACTGCCTACAATTCCCTTTAATTAAAACTTTAATTCCTGACGGGCGTGGTGGCTCAGGCCTATAATCCCAGCACTTTGGGTGGCCAAGGGGTGGATCTCCTGAGGTCAGGAGTTCAAGAACAGCCTGGACAAAAGCCCGTCTTTACTAAAAATACAAAAATCAGCCAGGTGTGGTTGCACACGCCTGTAATCCCAGCTACTCAGGAGGCTGAGGCAGGAGAATTGCTTGAACCTGGGAGGCAGAGGTTACAGTGAGCCGAGATGCCACTGCACTCCAGCCAGGGCAACAGGGCAAGACTCCATCTCAAAAACAACAACAACAACAGCAACAACAAACAACTTTAATTCCTGTTAAAGTTGAACCCCATCCCAACGCAAATACTTTACAGTGTATTCTGCTATTGTGACTTTAATATGAGTGAGCTTCATGTTTTTTTTTTTTTTTTTTTGTGAGAGTAGATTATGACCAAGGAGAAAAGGGGAGGGATAATGAAGAAACTATGTTTCTTGATAGAGAAAGTCAAGTGCCAAGAGGAGCTAAAATATTTCCAAGAAGATAACTCTTAGAATCGAGAAGACCCACTTCAGGGACTTCACAGTTTATTTTTTGTTCAGAAATGCTGTATAGTTACAGTGAATGTTTCATATGCATATTAGCCTGGAGGATTCATTTCTTCTAAACTTTAGATTTTGATTTGCAAAATGTATTATAAATCTCCTTTCCCTCATCAGTAACTCCTCTCATATAGTAGTGCTGTATCATATATTTTTATAACATTCTTTTGGGAGACTGTGGCTCAGTAAGTGAATTTTTAAAAAGATCTTATTTATTCAAAAGTATACTGTTTGAAACAAAGTTATACAATGTCATATGTGAAATGGCTACTTGGAGATGCTTGCCAGATGTTCTTAACCTGGAACTAAAAGATCCCATGGAGTCTATGAGTATCAGGGGTTGGTTCGTGACCTCCTGAGATGGATTGTAAAATCTTTTGTGTATGCATATTTGTTCATTTTTTTTTTTTTTTGGAATGGAGAGTCTACAGCTTTCATCATATTTTAAAAGAAATCCATAATACAAATAGGTTAAAAACCTGCTTATTTCACAGAGGGGGAAAGTGAAGCTCAAAGGCTGAGAAAGTGAATGTAATTTACCAAGCACCACACAGAGTGTATGTCAGTGGATGAAACTGAGAGTGTTGTTTTGAGGGTTCAAAACCAAAAATGAAACAAAACACACAGGTCCTAGAAGCTTGAAGAAGCAAAGGAAGACAGGTCACCTAGCGTTGACATAGACCATTAAGGAGGTGTCTTCATTATATATCTCTCCCCTTTGCTCCTTGATCTTAATCTACTCTCATAAATACTCTGTTTCAGGATAAATTGGAACCTACCCCAGCAGCATTTAGTTGGTACCAAATGTACCTCCTTTGCTCTTATGAACAAAACAAAACAAAAAACAAAATGGGGCACTTACACAGCATCTTGTTGACTGATTTTCTGCAGGGTCTTTGAATATTTGCATTCCCTTCATCTGCCTCAAGAGATTTGTCTTTCTTTAGCTGAAAGGGAAGTAAGTTGGGAGAGATAGTAAGAAAGAGAAACATTTTTCCTCCTGTTAAAATCTGAGAAACATAACTCAAACGCTCATTTTGAAGACAGAAGAACTGAGACCTAGAGAAATGTAAGACTACGTCAAATGTTTAACAGTATGTTGAAGGTGGAATTGGATTCAGGTCATCTACTCAACTGGATAAGTGATTGTGGCCAAGTAATAGTGCAACCACTTTTCGTATACAGTTATGTGGAAACTTGGCTGTGTAGCATGTTAATAGGTGTTCCATGAAAAATGTAAAATTCTGAAGTTCAAGAAAAGTTAGAAAGGCTTCTCAATTCATTCATTCACTCATTCATAATTATTAGAAATCTGTTAAAGTGAAATCCTTCTGCTCTGTGGTGGATAATTAGTAGAAAACCAAAACAGGAATTCTTCTTGCCTCATCAGTATTTATTGTGGATCTTCTCAGAGACTTAAATATGCTGATGGGCATTATGAATTTTCAAGGGGGATAGTGTATCAACTTTCCACTTAGCTCCCCTCTACCTTCCACACTCACATCACCTACTCATATCTTAGCCAAAAGGGAGATAGTGTTTATTTGAGTAAACAATATTTTCCCCCAACCCTTTTCAGTGGATTACCTTGTACCATCTTGACAAACACAAATTGGGAAATGTTGTTTTAATATTACAGTAATATTAATTACTGAAAAGTCTTATGTGTTTCTGAGTTAAGATGTTTAAAGTATATTCATCCTTGTTGGACGATATGGAGATCCTTGATGTAACATTTGAAACTTTCAGCTATCAACACTACTTGTATGCACAATCTTCCTTGCTCAGTTTAAGTCCTGCCTGTTCCTGAAAGACTTTGATGACCACTTTAGCCCACTGTCTTCTCCTTCCTTTGAACTCCCACAGCACTGAAGATCTACATCATTCATCCAGTTGTGGAAGTTTTTCTCTTTATTTTACACATTTTTTAATTTGTGGGGATGTTTGGCCAAATAAAGGAAGCTTTAAGGACTCATGATAAAATACCATCAAATATCCAGAAATTAGTATAGTACATAGTGAATATATATTTGCCCATTAGTTCTCTAGCATTTACTTCTCTCTTCTCTTAATAATAGCACCCTAATTTTCCCTTAGGGAATGTACTCCTTCCCCATTCTTAGTCTTTAATTTGTATAGAGGTGTCACTAAACTTCAGCTCCAGGTATAGTCCCTAAACAATTTAGCCAATCAACTTGTCCTATCCTCCAGTCACAATGATTGAATAATGCAGACCAATGAGATTTCAGATATTTGCTTGTGCTTCTGAAGATGCAAGTTTTCATTTATTTTTTATTGGGACTGCCAGAGAGAGTCCTTCTCTGCATATGAGGTCTGGAATTACAAACGTTATTTTTTTTCCACCACAAAGAAAAAATGCTTGGAGCCACCAAAGGATGACTGTGTGCAGTTTGAGGTTGAAACCAACACCATAGAAAAAAAGAGCAAAGAAACAGAAATAAAGTTAGGTTTATAATAAGATCGTGTGTTTTATTTAATTAATCTTCACCAAGAGCTAGCTCGGCTTCTGAACTTTTCATGTCTATGCTCCCTTTGGTATTTACCCAGGGTTGGAGTCTCTCATTGGCAGTGTAAAAAGTCCAGGCTAATTGATTGAAGCCATCAGGTGGAACGAAAATTTAACTTATTTTATACAGTCATGGCAGTAGATTAGAATCAATCTATTTAGTTACAGGTAGATAGATTCTAATTCAAGATAAGGAAGAAATTGTTGTGATTATGTGCAATAATGAAACAAACTGCTATAAGAAGCAATAATCGTCCTGGGCTGGATAGCATTTTGAAGGAATATTCCAGAAAAGGTATTTAAAATTAAATAGACTTGGAAGAGTGGGTCTTTAAAAGCTGCCTCGAAACTTCAGCAAATCCATATCCAGTCTTCCTAACAAACATATATGCTGCTTGCAGTTAGGTAGCACTCAGGACCACATAGGACCTCAAGAATCCTCTTGGATAATGTATAAACCTGGCCATTTGTCTCTTGAATATATCGGAGTGTTCTACATGTATCTGTGTCTTCATAAAGTAAAGGATTAAAGACTCTGTGAGATTAGGACTAGAAAGGAAAAATCTGAAGGTGAAAAGTATTATTAATGCAATAGTAAAACAAAATCATGCAGGTAGAGTGCTTATCTCAGTGCCTGGCACATGATACTCAGCAAGTTGTATATTACTGTTATTACAGTGATTCTGATTATTATCCAGAGTATACTAAAGAGACATCAGAAAAAATGATTTTTAAAAACTAGAGTTGTTTGTTTATATATGTGAGGTTACTTTTGTGAAGTACTGAGTCCCTTCTAGAAATTCTTTTCTCATGTTACCACTCGCTCACAAAGAGTGCCTGTACTGATACAAAGGAGGCAGATATGCTGAGAAGAAAAACACATTCAAGGTTAGAGCAATGTATCAAACTTCAAACTTTACTAACTCATCTTAGATTAAATCTATTAAAGGTTCTAATTACTTCATGCCACTTAAAGATTGTGGTTTTTACATTATGCAGTTATTCTATTATTTTATTTCAGTTCATAATTAAGAACAATAAAAAATATTGAGATATATTAGTCACTTCCTGCCTTGTGTTTAACAGTTCTCAATGGTAATTTCTCCACCCCAAGGAACAATTTTTAAAAAAATCAAACATCAAACAAATAGTTCACGCAATTCTTTTATGAACAGGCTTCCTGTAGCAGCATAGTTTACACTAAAAAGAAAATCATGTGCTGATGAATTGTTGCTTATTTTGCAGCTTCCTTAGTTTATAATGACCTAACTAGCTAACTAGAGGAAGAGTGAAAAATTGATTACTTACATATGGTGTACATTGTTCCAACAGAATTTGGAGTGGTTGACAGAATAGAATAGAATCAAAACAGTTAGTCTAGCCAATATTCAATGCTGCTTTATCGTTGAATAATTTCACTTCCCTACAGATGTTTAGTAAAGTAGATATTCAACCATTCATTATTCTTCCCCACCCCAAAACTTTTATTTTACAACTCAGGTTACAAAAGGAGGAGTGCAAATTTGTGATTACTATTACTAAATATTGTGATTACTAAAAGTTGTGATTACCATTACTATATAGTGTGATTACTAAAAATTGTGATTACCTTCTTTAGCTACAGAAGAGCAAAGTGAAAGGGAGGTTCGCGAGGTTATTATTCAGGTTGATACATTATGCTGATCAGTTGTTTATACTGCCTGAAATCACTCTACCAGATGTTCATTTATATAGTTTGTGGGACTTAGTTTCAGAATACCAGATTATAATATAGGTTTTGTGTAAATATCTCTATAATCTTAACACAATCTATTTACTTAAAAAAATTAGTGCAACCCTGTGTTGGCATGGTTGAATTCTGCTGCAATTCATACATCCATCCTCATCACCTCAATCATGAATGCAGCATGCAGGAGATGTAAGAACTAAATCAGACTGTCACCAGAACTTCCTCCCACATGTGGAGGGACTTGCCCTAGAATTGTCTATTTTCTATCTCTATAATGTTCAAAGCCTGGAGAACAGCTCAGTGGTGGCTGTGTCCTGGAATGATGCAGCGTGACTGAATGCCGAGCTGTGAGCACAGATATGGGTTTCCTCCTTCTTCTCTGGTCCTGTGATTTCATCAGTCTTGGGCTTGCTGCCTTCTGAAAGCAGTGGGTCCCAGAGTCAATCATACCTTCAAACTATCCAACAGAGTCACTCACTTAATCATTAGGATTGCTTGGGTCTCCTTGAGATGATATTTCCAAGTCTTTGTTTTAAAGGTAGAGAAGCTAAAGCCCAGCAATGAAGGAAGTAATTTGGCCTCATTCATTCACTGAGCTTACAGTCTAGTTGGGGAGAAAACAATTAATTAAGGAATCCATAAGTATGGAAATATAAATTGTAATGAAGGAAAATCACGGAGAGCCATGAGTACCTACAACAGGAAACAGGGATGCTCAGGGAATCTGGGAGAGCTTCCCTGAGGAAGCGTGTTGAAGTATGACACAGAGAATAAATGAGGGTTAGAAAGGCAAAAGGGGGAGTGGTGGCAGACAGTAGGAACATTTCAGGCTACAGGTATAGTGTACATAAAGGCCCTGCGATCAGTGACACAGAATAGGGCCTACTTTTCCTGAGTTTCAGTATAGAGATTTTTAAATTCTTCTAGAAGTGACTTTGTAAGCGTTAGTTTCTTTCCTGGTGTCCTCTGGTACCCTGGATAACAGCTCATCCTTCCTGAAAACAGGCTGTCAAAAGTTGCATTACATACACAAAGCAAACCAGGGTGGTTTTTAAACTTTTGTCTGAGCTGTCACTTACCTCCTGATACAAGGTAGCCATGGACTTTTGATAATAAAACACAATGAAACTGATTGTAACAGATTGGAAGAGGAACTGTGCATTTCCTACTCAAAGTTAAATATTTTTCCCAAATTGACCCAAAATAGGTGACTGTTTGGCATTGGATGAGGTAATATTAAGTGGGTGGGTATTTCTCATAAGACTTTCTTTGGAGTTGTATAGAAGTCTTTTCCCCGCAGTGAGATGTGCAGGACGTTCTTAAGACATGGCTGTGAGCTAGTGCGGGGTGGGACATGTCTCTGGGAATACAGGTGCTAGCCCTCCAGGAGGGGACTGGCACAGCTCTCTGCCTAATTAGATTTACTCTTGTGCCCAGATGTCCGTGACACTTAGAATTTGTTCTTCCTACTTAGACCTCGCTATTCACCTTAGGGACAATAGGTATTCAAAAGGACTACCATTGGGCACTCGCTTCTGACAATCGGCTTCTCAGAGATGGACTGAAATAGGAGTATATTAGTTGTCACATAAAGTGTGATGTCAGAGCCATCTCAAAGCAAATGATGTGAATGTGATATCTGTTTGTCCTGTCATTTAAAACTCACATTACTTCAGCTCACAGGTGTTTTTTTTTCTTTTTTTAAAGGAATAATAGACTGTTAGAGCTACAGGGGACATAGATAGGATCTGATGTGACCTTTTCATTTTATACACGGGAAAACTAATTCCAGGAGAATGATGTGGCTTGCCTAAAGGCATATTATATGTCAGCTGTAGATCTGGGAGTCTAAATGGTCTCGTAACTGTTTACTACACAAGCTATAATACCTCCCTTAAGTGGGTGTAAAATTGTCATTGTGAAGAACTTTTCTCTTCATGAATTTGGGTGCAGAATATACCAGAGAGGAATTATATAGACTAATTCCTACCCTTATTAAAAATAGTTTCTCTCAGCTAATTTAGACACCCCCCTTCTGAAAAAGAAATCAGTTTACCACCATAAACATAGGAAAAGAACCTCTAATTATATATGTTGCAAAATAAGTGATATCTTTTTCTTAATTTCAGATAAGCTCTTATTCACATTTTTTCACTCTATCTCATGTGCTGTTTACTTCCTTATCTCTCAATCTGCACCTGCTCAAAAGAAGCTCAAGTTATCTCAGTCATGTCATTAATATATATGATTATATATTATATATAACTATATATTATATATATGACTATATATTATATATGTAACTATACATATAATATATATAGTTTTATTTTGTTTTGTTTCAACCTCATTTTAATGAAAGGGTCGGAGCAACCACAGTAAATGTCTGATTTTAAAACTGAATACCTATCTTGGACTACAAAATAGGCAGGGATAGTTTGTGTTATACTCAGACCAAGTTGGTGTACAGGAAAATCTCAATGCAGGCAGTGGCCAGGGGCTGGAAAGTGACAACAGGATGTGGAGAAGTCTCTCAAAGTGTGGCCACCTCACCCCAGATCACCTGATGTGCTTATTTAAAATGAGGCTCCACCTCAGACCTTCTGAATCCCATTTTCCTGGGGGTGAGGTATGCATATTGCTCCCAAAGTAAGTTTTCTGCATGATTCTTAGGAACATTTAGATACGAGAACCCCAAGAATAGAGGGAAGAAAAATAGAAGACGAGCTAAAGGAAATGATAAATAGTTGTGGTTACCATTCATCTCATTTGAGGCAAGTCCTTTTAAGTCTCAATTTCCCATCTGAGCTCATTCTATTTTCCCTCTGTTCCCTTCCATTTCTGAATTTCCCCAATTCTAAGTTTTTCTCTGAACTTTGAGCCTGTGAAAAAAGAAGGGATGCTGCCTCAGGCCACCCCAGCCTAGATACTCACTCTGAGTGCCATGAGGTAGTAGAGGACACTGATGACAGTCATGGGGAGGAGGTAGAATAGGAAGGAGGTGACCTGGATGATGAAATTGTAGATCCACATGGGCTTGATGACCGTACAGGTGGCCGAACCTGGGACCAGGGACCCATTGGGGAAGTAGTGGAACTTGATGCCATGGATGCTGGTGTTGGGCAGGGAGAAGAGCACGGAGAAGCCCCAGACGATGCCGAGGATCCTGAGGGCCCGGCGCCGGGTGCTCTGCAGTTTGGCGCGGAACGGGTGTAGGATGGCCACGTAGCGCTCCACGCTGACGGTGGTGATGCTGAGGATGGAGGCGAAGCACACGGTCTCAAAGAGGGCCGTCTTGAAGTAGCAGCCCACGGGCCCGAACAAGAAAGGGTAGTTGCGCCACATCTCATAGACCTCCAGGGGCATTCCAAGGAGCAGGACCAGGAGGTCAGAGACCGCCAGGCTGAAGAGGTAGTAGTTGGTGGGCGTCTTCATAGCCTGGTGCTGCAGAATCACCAGGCACACCAGGACATTGCCAATGACCCCCACCACAAAAATTGGCACATACACCACAGACACGGGGAGGAAGAAGTGGCTGCGCCGAGGTCCGCAGAGGAAGGCCAGATACTCCTCGGTGCTGTTCAGGTGTTTCTGGAATGGATCTTCTAGTTTCTGCTGGTAGATCCAGGAAGCATTCTGAAGTTTTTCCATCCCTGACATTAAAATCCAAGGCCTGAGCCTCCCCTGGTACGAGGCTCTGTTTCAAGCTGAGCCAGGAAAAAAAAAAAAAAAAGAAAAAAGGAAAACAAAAAAGAGAAAGCAGTCACGAAAGTCACAGGCTTCGTAAGGAAGGCTGGGAGAGAGTGAGTGTTTCACCCTCCAGGTTAGGCTGCCTGGACCGCCGATCCCTTTTGAAGAGCCCCGGAGACACAAGCCCCTCCCCTTGACAGGCTGAGGGCCAATGAGAGTGTGTTAGGCTGCACTGGAGGAGAGGGGTGCTGGCTTCGAGTCAGGAAGCAGGGGAGGAGGCAGAGACCTCTCCCTGAATGGGAAGGAGCTGGGAAGGCAGAGCTGACACAAAAGAAGCCACTCGAACTTCATGGATGGGCACTTTGAGCAATGCAGGTTGCAAAGTTGTGGGAATCTGGGTAGACATAGAAATTAAAGTTGCAGGGCCATGGGCAAAAGAATACCAATCTCCACTAACCCTTGTCAGCCGTACAGCATGATGAAAATAGGAGATCAATAGATTTCTCAAGTTATCTTGTTCCACTGGAAATTCAGGGTTCTCTGGGGATTAATGTGATAACATGATTAATGTGACTTTTTGGTTTTAACTGCATCAACGATAGAATCCGAAGCCTGAAAGGGCGCATGCACAGTGCCTAGCCCTGACTGCTAACTGACTCTTCAGTCTCAGCAGAGCTTTGCTGTAAGCAAAAGGCAAATGGACTTCAGAATTAGGAACACTCATAGAAATTTAGGAAAGTTGGCACAGTTACCCAAACTCTTAGAGGCTTATTTCCTTATCTGCATCATTAATTCGATTGCGTTCCACAATAACTTCTTGAGGATTCACTATTTGCCAGGGAATGTTCTAAGCTTTGTAGAAACACTAGTGTACAAGCAAGACAAGGTCTCTGCCCTAGTGGAGCTTTTCTTGCAGTAGGGAATTCTGAAAACACACAAGCAAATGAATAAATTAATAATATAATTTCAGATAGTAATTGATAAATAATTATTTATCAAGGATGGTGAAAGAAAACTTATCTCAGGAGATGTCACTTTAGCTGAGGTCTGAATGATGAAGTCAGTCATGAAAGAGCTAAGGGAAGTGTATTACTCAGCAAAAGTAATAGCAAGTGCAAAGGTCCTGAGGCAGAAACAAGCTGGATAGGTTTTAAAAATATCAGGAAGACCAGAATAACTGGAATTTAATAAGTGGTCAGCAAAGTATGAATGCTTAGATTGAAGTGGCTGGCAGGTACAGGTTCATGTAAACTCTTATAGGCCATGGAAGAGAGTTTAGCTCTGATTCAAATGGCAGGGAGAAGTCTTTAAAAGATTTTGCACTGGAGAATTAACGAGGGAGAAATTTTAACAGAAGGTAGGTAAGAGGCTAGTAAGACATAGTAGTGGCTTGGATTCTATGAGCAGTGGAGTTGAGAGATTTCTTTGGATTTAGGAATATTTTTGCAGGAGATAATACCTTTTATGGTCATTGAGAAGACTAAATTAAATTATATATAACGAAGCAACTTATACTTAAGAGATGCTCACTAAATGTTAATTTTTTCCCTTTATTTGTTAAATCAGATTATGACGTTAAAAATTAGAGAGGGAAAGTGACTTGTCCAAGAATAAGTCATCTCTCAAGTTAAGATAGTTTACGCTGCTGTAACAAATGATTGACATATCTTGGTGGTTTTAAACAATACAGATTTATTTCTCTTGTACTTCAAATGTATTGAGGGTCTGTCTCATGCTATGCTCACTCATAAACCTAGGCTGATGCAGTGGTCACTCTCTGGAATTTTGATTATCATTGTGATAGAGGAAAAGAGAGCTCTGGATGGTCTTAAGTAGGTAATTATAGGCTCTAGCCCAAAAGTAAGTAACTCATTGCCAGTTTTTCTCACAGCTCATTGACCAAGGTTAATCATATGTACCCATTCGACTACAGCAGGGTCAGGAAGTGCTGTCTTAGCATGTGCACAGAAGATGGAAAAGTAGGAAAAATTGATCAATAACATTAATAATAATTACAGACATGTAATAGGTATTGCAGAGCCAGAATTAGGGCCCTCTAGTTAAAGGCAAGTTTTGATGTTAAAATCACTATTTACAAACTTTAACGTATTTTTCTAATGAAATAGGAAAAGTTTAATGAGAATATCTCATTTAGATGTAAGGATCGTTATAAGGGTGCACAGTGGCAGACTATAAACTTAGCGCTGAGGAAGATGGAAAATATTTCTTTCTTTAACAAAAATATTTTTCCATAAGTTACTGGGGTACAGGTGGTATTTGGTTACACAAGTAAGTTCTTTAGTAGAGATTTGTGAGAACCTGGTGCACCCATCACCCAAGCAGTATACACTGCACCATATTTGTTGTCTTTTATCCCTCACCTGCCTCCCTCTCTTCCCCTAAAGTCCCCAAAGTCCATTGTATCATTCTTATGCGTTTGCATCTTCACACCTTAGCTCCCACATATCAGTGAGAACATATGATGTTTGGTTGTCCATTCCTGAGTTACTCCACTTAGAATAATAGTCTTTAATCTCACCCAGGTCATTGCAAATGCTGTTAATTCATTCCTTTTTATGGCTGTGTAGTATTCATATATATGTATGGAAATATATTTATATATTATATATCCATATATGGATATATATTTATATATTATATTTATATTATATTATATTATATATTATATTATATTGTATATTATATATATTATATATAATATATATAAGATATATTATATATAATATTATATATAATATATATTATATAGTATTTATATATGATATATCCATATATATGGATATATAGGATATCCATATATGATATATCCATATATATCAATATATATCAGAGTTTCTTTATCCACTCACTGATTGATGGGCATTTAGGTTGGTTCCACAATTTTACTGTTGCGAATTGTGCTGCTATAAACAGGCATGTGCAAGTATTTTTTTCGAATAATGACTTCTTTTCCTCAGACACCCAGTAGTGGGATTGCTGGATCAAATGGTAGATCTACTTTTAGTTCTTTAAGGAATCTCCACACTATTTTCCATAGTGGCAGTACTAGTTTACATTCCCACCAGCAGTGTAGAAGTGTTGCCTGATCACCGCATCCACACCAACATCTACTGATTTTTGATGCTTTGATTATGGCCATTCTTGCAGGAGTAAGGTGGTATCGCACTGTGATTTTGATTTGCCTTTCCCTGATTATTAGTGATGTTGAGCATTTTTCCATATGTTTGTTGGTCATTTGTATATCTTCTTTTGAGAATTGTCTATTCCTGTTCTTAGCCCACTTTTTGATGGGATTTTTTTTTCTTACTGATTTGTTTGAGTTTGTTGTAGATTCTGGGTATTAGTTCTTTGTCAGATGTATAGATTGTGAAGATTTTCTCCCACTCTGTGGGTTGTCTGTTTACTCTGCTGACTGTTCCTTTTGCCATGAAAAAGCTCTTTAGTTTAATTAGCTCCCAGCTATTTATCTTTGTTTTTATTGCAATTGCTTTTGGGTTTTTGGTCATGAATTTCTTGCCTAAGCCAATGTCTAGAAGGGTTTTTCCAATGTTATCGTCTAGAATTTTTATAGTTTCAGGTCTTAGGTTTAAGCCCTTAATCCATCTTAGTTGATTTTTGTATAAGGTGAGAGATGAGGATCCAGTTTTATTCTCCTACATGTGGCTAGCCAATTGTCCCAGCACCATTTGTTGAAAAGGGAGTCCTTTCCCCCACTTTATGTTTTTGTTTGCTTTGTTGAAGATCAGTTGGCCATAAGTATTTAGGTTTATGTCTGGATTTTCGATTCTGTTCTTTTGGTCTTTGTGCCTATTTTTATACCAGTGCCATGCTGTTTTGGTGACTATGGCCTTATAGTGTAGTTTGAACTCAAGTAGTGTGATGCCTCCAGATTTATTCTTTTTGCTTAGCCTCTCTTTGGCTATGTGGCTCTTTTTTCGTTCCTTATGAACTTTAGAATTGTTTTTTCTAATTCTGTGAAGAATGATGGTGGTATTTTGATGAGGATTGCATTGAATTTATAGATTGCTTTAGGCAGTATGGTCATTTTCACAGTATTGATTCTGTTCTCCATGAGCATGGGATGTGTTTTCATTTGTTTGTGTCATTGATGATTTCTTTCAGCAGTGTTTTGTAGTTCTGTAGTTTTTTTTGAGACAGATTCTCACTTTGTTGCCCAGGCTACAGTGCAGTGGTGCAATCTCGACTCACTGCAATCTCTGCCTCCTGGGTTCGAGTGATTCTCCTGCTTCAGCCTCCCAAGTAGCTGGGACTACAGGCATGCACCACAGTAACTCCCAAGTAGCTGGGACTACAGGCATGTACCACAGTAGCTCCCAAGTAGCTGGGACTACAGGCTGGGACTACAGGCATGCACACTACAGGCATGCCTGGCTAATTTGTATATTTTTAGTAGAGATGGAGTTTCGCCATGTTGGCCAAGCTGGTCTTGAACTCATGTCCTCAAATGATCCACCCACCTTGGCCTCCCAAAGTGCTGAGATTACAGGTGTGAGCCACCGTGCCCAGCCAATATTTCTTAATATATGAGGCAACAAATCTAAAATTCAAAGGCATTTCCACATTGTGACAGGGTAGGTCTAATCAAAAAGGATGATGTCTAGTACAGAATGTAGTAGCAGGCTCAATGCAGGGAGATGCTATAGAAGTAATAAAGGCACGGACTGCAGCGTAGCTTTGGGATTCAAATCTTGGTTCTGCCTCCTACTAGCTATGTGACCATAAGGAACATAATTAAACTCTGTAAGCCTCAGTTACTCCATCAGCAAAATGAGTAAAATAGCAGTATTGCTTTACAGGATTTCTAGGAGAATTAAATCGTTCCTGGTAAAATATTCAGTGTAAATTATTTTAAATAACATAATATTTAAATAAGTATTTAATAATGGGATATGCAATTGAATAATAATGATAATTTCATGATGGGGATGTCTTTCTTTTTATTGGGGTCAGAAAGACTATTACAAGATTTAAAAACTGGGAGATGTGCTTGGAGCTGCTAAAATGAGGAGTACTTCCAGCTTTTAATTAACTTTTAGTGCAGTATAGCAAGTCAGAATAGCTTCTAGGAAAGTATATAGACATCTGTTCCCCAGGTCACCAAGGTTTGCACCTGTACTTACCAACTATGTGAAGATGGTGAGAATAGCAAGGGGCTCAATATCTTGTAGGTAAGATTTGATGCAAGTGGAGATGTTTGCCTGAAGAAGACTCAGAGGAAAAAAGTGGGGCATGAGGATCACTTTCAAATATTTGAAAAAATATTTGGGTGACACCCATGGACAGAGGGGGAACTAATATTTAGAAAACCTAAAAGAACAATAATTTAGAGTCAATTCCACTGAGATTTCCTGATAAGTGAAGAGAGAACCTCTCAATCGTTCCCCTGAAAAATAAGAAATCAGTATTTACCCACCAATTTCTGTCCCCTATTGTTTGAGGTTTGCTCCTGGGGCAATAACTCCCCTATATCTCTGGGCTATTCTTGCTCATGGGTTGCATAGGCTTCCATGTGTCAGGGAAGGCTATGGAGTAGAAAAATAGAAATGTGGCATAGACTTATGATGCAACCCTATCAGCCTGGGTAAGTCTGAGCTTGCAAAGGGCCATCCTTCCCAGCTGTAGCTAAAACCACGTGGGCCAAGGGATTATGATTTGGGAGTACCAGTAGCATTTTCTAAAATCTATAAAATAAAAAACAATAACACTAGATAACATCTGTTGAACATTTATTCTTTCCAGGCTCTGTTGTAAGCTTTTACATGTATCAGCACATACAATCTTTACAATACTGCCTACAAGGTAGGCTGTTTGTTTATCCCTGCCATTAGAAGCACATGCAGATTACGGGAATAGTTGAAACTCACGTAGTATATCAGTCATTTGGGTTAGGTTATGTTTCAGTAACAAAAATTTCCAAATTTTTGTAGACTAAAATAAAGGTTTATTTCTTGCTCATTCTACATGTCATCAAGGGTTGTCCAGTAGTCTCGGTCCTACACTGATCTCACATTGGAATTCAGGCTCCAACTGGTGTTTTTACAATTCCCAAAGGAGGATTCCCAAGGGGACCCTACTTAAATGTTCTGCCTAGGAATGACAGAGATCACTTCCATTCACATCTGAGGGCTAAATCAAGTTACATGGGAAATCCTAATTCTAAGGAGGGCACAAAGAACCATCTCACTATGTGCTTAGGAGGAGAAAGCCAAAACTACTTGGTAAATAGAATTAATGACTATATGTTGTGCTCCTCTGGACACAAACATTCTTTCTTGCAGGCAAAAGACTCTTCTCCCTTCTCTATTGCAGATACCCCAACATTCCTAGCCCAGTCACAGCTGCAAGTTAAAAATCCAGGATCTCTGGAGAACATCCAAGATGTTCTTTATAGCAGAAAATAGAACAGTATTCTCTCTGTCACATCCATATGAGGATCCTCTCATTCCAGAGACCTATAAACTAAAAGGGCAAGTTATTAGTTTCCCACATGGACACTTCCAGCTTCTAATAATACTTTTTTATTTGCCCATTATCTGGCCCCTAGACAAATGCCATATACTTTAGAGTTCTATAGCAATGCTCCACTTTCAGATCCAGTTTTGAGTCAGTAACTTGGACTAGATTTTGCTGAGGTAACAACCCCAAACTCTCAGTGACTTTAAACAACAAAGGCTTTTTTTCACCTGTGTCGATTGTGGCTGGGAAGGGAAACTTTTGTGTTACACTGTCTTCATCTGGGATAATATGGAAAATTCCACCACCTGAAGGGGAGTAAAAAAAACTCCTGGGAAGATGTGACCATGGGGGTGTTGGCTTCTCAATCCTATCTTTCCAAGGGACTTCTCCTTGTGCTTTAGCATCTAGCACTGTTCTGGGTAATGAGGATTTACTCAGTAAAGGGAATATAAACGAAAAGGCCTTGTAGCAACTAGATTGGATATAAGGCAACCACATTTGTCAAAGGAATAATTAGGCAAATCATCATCATCTTATAAGAAAGTTTTTATTTTATAGACACTAACAATGTGAAGAAATTTTCTAGAAAGTTCTGTTAGTAGGAACAGAACTTTGATTCAGAGGCATAACATTCCAGCTCTCTTCAGCATTGGCATCCCAGGGAGTTAGGAAATGCTCATGTGACCTTGGATAACAACAATGAAAATAGAGTGCCTAGAACAAGGGGAGTTATCTTCAGTTCTGTTAAGCACCAGAACAAGACTATTTGCACTAGTTTGAGCAGACAGACACTAGTGGCATTGAGGATCTTTTCATATATCTATTGGCCATTTGTACATCTTCTTTGGAGAAATGTCTATTTGTGTCCTTCGTTCATTTTTTAAAATGTTTTTCCTCATCACTAAATTGAGAGTATTTTTTATGAAAGCTAAGGTCCCGTCTATGTTCCAAAAATATCAGTGGCATTTGGCTAATCACAGTAATTCTTCCACCCTGATGATCAATCTAGTGTTTTTTAAATGAGGCCTAGTGGGTCTGTACTCTAGCAGATTTATAGGAGACAAAGGAGATAGGTCCTTGATTTAGATTAATTTTTATAGATACATCTGTGCCTTCACAGTTTCCCAGAAAGTCAGGGTGAACTTTGTGGCAAGAGATGTCACATATCCACAATGAGAATCATGGGTGGCTGTTGATTTCTTTCTGAACTCTTTGATGGAAATAGAGTCAGTTTCAGCTCTAATCTCAATGGCTTTTACTGATTTAAAACAGAGAATGACTAAGGGTTCTTAAAACACTAGCAGATGGAAGCTTTGGTAATTATTTCTTTATGAAAGTGGATACCTGAGTCGCATCTAGAATACACAGATTGCTCTGTAGATCAGAACGTGACTCAGTAAAGACAGCACCTCGCTAGTGGTATTATTTAAAAGGAGAAAAATCCTCCATTGTCTAAAATTTCCTGCCCCAGTCGTGCTTGAAATCTTATTATTTCTTTAAGCATCTCTTCTCTGTGAGGAAAAATCATCATCAACAATGCCAGCTTCCATGATCGACTGGCACTGAGCTAAGTGCTTTGTTTGTATTCTCTAATTTAATCCTTGCAACAACCCAAAGAGGAAGTATTTTTATTACCCACATTTTACAGATGAGAAAAGCCAAGATTTAGAAAGGTTACATGCTTCACGAACTCACACAGTTAATTTTCATCAGTGCCACAGGTACTTGTACAGGACCTGACCACTTGCTGTCTGAATGCAGAGCCTTTGCAGTGAGTTACGGCTCAGAATCACCATGTCACAAAAGCTATGCTATTTTCACATAAATTACTGAGCCATGCATTTAAGGGGTACCTACATTTAAACAGAGTATTCCTATAGATACAATATATTCACCCAAGGGTCAGTCCATAGCTGACATGTACTCAGTTCTGGGATTCACAATGTAAGGGACTTTTCCATTTAAATTACAAAATAAAATTTTATGCACTCAAGTTAATAGAACTTGTCGAAGTATTTTGCACTGAAGTGTTTACACCAGAACAGATTGTAAATGTACACAGATTGTTCTGGTGTAAATTAGCTTGCAGGATAAAGTAAGTGGCAATTTTTCATATTAGTATTATTTATATAATAAGGTTACCTGTAGATAACACCAGTGTGCCAGGCATGGTGAAAGGTATTTTGAACAAAAATAGTCAGGGTATGGTTATGACTTAGACTAATCAACTAATCATATAATAATGTAAAATTATAGCAGGGTCACGCAAGAGAGGTACTTTATTAGGAATGCTATGAGATGTGATCTAGAGCAGAGATCAGAGAGTAGAAACTCACAACATGAAGCATTGGAGGTAAGAGTTGGAAGAGGAGCATTCTAGGCAAAGCAAAGAGTATGTGCAAACGTCCAGGGAGGGAAGAGAGGTTGGTACCCATGAGGAGGAGGTGTGGAGGCCACTGTGAGGCAGGAGAATAGGGTCTGGAGGCAGGGAACCTAAGGCTGATTCATGCTGACTTCCTAGAACTAAATCAAAAGGAAAACCCCAACTTTCCACGCCTAAGTATCAAAAGGACCACAGGTTATGCCCATTGCAACTCCCCTTTTTCTGCATGGCAGATGAAAAACTGAAACTACCTCTGATTGGTCTTCTCCCACAGCCAATCAGGCTGGTCTTGGGCCAAGTCTTTATTTAGAGGAGTATAACTTTGTGACTTCACTTCAGCCTCTGAGTGGTCACTTTCCACAACCAGTCAGAATGATTGTAGGCCACTACTTAATTTACATAGGGTGTACACCAAGTAACTAGTGGGAAACCTCTAGAGGGTATTTAAGCCCCAGAAAATTCTGTAACTGGGTTCTTAAACAACTATGCTCAGTCGGGCTCCCACCTTGTGGAGTGTACTTTTGTTTTCAATAAATCTCTGCTTTTGTTGCTTCATTCTTTCCTTGCTTTGTTTGTGCATTTTGTCCAATTCTTTGTTCAGGATGCCAAGAACCTGGACACCCTCCACAGGTAACAACTGAGCCTGGGGAGCATACTGTGAGATCAGGACCATGCAGAGACTTGTAGGCCATACTAAGGCCTTTACTTTTGTTTCTCTTTGCTATTAAAGAAGCCAATGAAACATTTTAAACTGGAAAGACATGATTTTCAAAAAGATCCCTCTTGGCTGCAGGGAGAAAATGAATGGAGGTGGGAAAGATGAGGAGATATAGGCTATTTCACTAGTCTAAATAAGGGATAACAGTCACTTGGGCTTAGATAGTGACAGTAGAGATGGTGGGAAGAGATAGAAAGAAAATAAAGGCAGCAGGACTGCCAAATATCTAGGCCTCACACTTACTGGCTGTGTGACCTTAAGCAGATGCTTAACCTCTCTGAGTCACTATTTCTACCCCTTTAAAAATTGGAGCAACCTTCAGCTGACAAACAAATTGAGATAAGTTTCAGGATAAAAAATCAATGTAAAAAAATTACTAGCATTTCTAAACACCAACAACAGCCAAGCCAAGAGCCAAATCAGGAATGCAATCGCATTCACAATTGCCACAGAAAGAATAAAATACCTAGGAATTCAGCTACCTAGGGAGCCGAAAGATCTCTACAATGAGAATTACAGAGCACTGCTCAAAGAAATTAGAGATGACACAAACAAATGGACAAAAATTCTATGCTCATGGATAGGAAGAATCAATATCATTAAAATGGCCATATTGCTCAAAGCAATTTACAGATTCAGTACTATTCCTGTAAAACTACCAATGATATTCTTCACAGAACTATAAAAAACTATTTTAAAATTCATATGGAATAAAAAAAGAGCCCAAATAGCCAAGGCAATCCTAAGCAAAAGGAGCAAAATGGAGCCATCATGTTACCTGATTTTAAACTATACTACAAAGCTACAGTAACCAAAACAGCATAGTATGAGTACAAAAACAGTCATATAAATCAATGAAACAGAACAGACAGCCCAGAAATAAGGCTGCACATCTACAACCATCTGATCTTTGACAAAGCTGACAAAAACACATTGGGAAAAGACTCCCTATTTAATAAATGATGCTGGGATAACTGGCTTAGCCATATGCAGAAGATTGAAACTTTTTTACATCATGTAAAAAAATCAACCCAAGATGGATTAAAGCCTTAAATGTAAAACTCAAAACTATAAAAACCCTGGACGACAATCTAGGCAATACTATTCTGAACATAGGAACGGGGAAAGATTTCATGACAAAGACACTGAAAGCAATTGCAATAAAAGCAACAATCAGCAAATGGAATCTAATTAAACTAAAGAGCTTGTGTGCAGCAAAACAAACTGTCAAAAGCGTGAACAGACAACCTGCAGAATGGGAGAAAATATTTGTATACTATGAATCTGACAAAAGTCTAATATCCAGCATATATGAGGAACTTAAATTTTCAAGAAAAAAACAACTTCATTAAAAAGTGGGCAAAGGAAATGAAAAGACATTTTTCAAAAGAAGACAGAGACGTAGCCAACAATCATATGACAAAAAGCTCAAATCACTAATCATTAGAGAAATGCAAATCAAAGCCACAGTGAGATGCTATCTCATACCAGTTAGAATGGCTATTAACAAGTCAAAAAATAACAGATGCTGGCGAGGTTGCAGAGAAGAGGGAACACATATACACTGTTGGTGGGAGTAAATTATTTCAACCATTGTGTAAAACAGTGTGGCAATTCCTGAAAGAGCTAAAGACAGAAACTACCATTTGACCCAGCAATCTCATTAGTGGGTATATGCCCAGAGAAATATAAATCGTTTAATTATAAAGACACATGCATGTAAATGTTCATTGCAGCACTATTCACAATAGCAAAGACATGGAATCAACCTAAATGCCCATCAATGACAGATTGGATAAAGAAAATGTGGTACAAATATACCATGGAATATTATGCAGACATAAAAAAGTATGAAATCATGTCCTTTGCAGGGACATGGATGGAGCTAGAGGCTATTATCCTTAGCGAAATAACACAGGAACAGAAAACCAAATACCACATGCTTTCACTTACAAATGGGGCAAAAAAAACAAACACCGCATGTTCTCACTCATAGGTGGGAATTGAACAATGAGAACACTTGGACACAGGAAGGGGAACATCACACACTGGGGCCTGTCGTGGGGTTGGGGGAGGGGTCGGGATAGCATTAGGAGATATACCTAATGTAAATGACGAGTTAATGGGTGCAGCACACCAACATGGCACATGTATACATATGTAACAAACCTGATGTTGTGCACACGTACCCTAGAACTTAAAGTATAATAATAAAAAATAAAATAAAATAAAGTGTTTTCAAAAGTTCACACACACAAAAAAACAAATAGTGCTAAATGATGGGAACTCATGGACATGAAGAAGGGAACAACAGACACTGGTGCCTTCTCAAGGTGGAGGGTGGGAGGAGGGAGAGGATAGAAAAAATAAATAGGCTTAGTGCCTGGGTGACAAAATAGTCTGTACAACAAACCCCTATGACACTATTTTACCTAAATAACAAACCTGCACATGTACTCCCAAACCTAAATTAAAAGTTTAAAAAATGGGGCAATAACAATATCTACTTCAAGGTCATTACAAATTAATATATGTACCTGGCACATGGTAAGTGCTTGCATTACAGTAGTAATAGTTGCATTACCAGTTTTGAAATAAAGGAGAAAAAATTGATTGGGATGAAAATGTTTTCAATAACCCTATTCATAGAAGTAGAATTCTTGAGTCAAAAAGATGGGATTAAGAAAACTAATCCTAATACACAGTTGTCCTCGTTATCTGCAGGGGATTGGTTCCAGGACCCTAGTGGATACCAAAATTTGTGTATGCTCAAGTCTTTTATATAAAATGGCATAATATTTGCATATAATATATGCATATTATCTCATATACTTTAAATAATCTCTAGATTACTTATAATACCTAATAAAATGTAAATGGTATGTAAATGGTTGTCATAATGTTTTGTTTTTTAATTTGTGTTATTTTTCATTGTCTTTTTTTCAGAATATTTTAAATCTATAGTTGATTGAATTAAATGATGTGGAATCTCTGGATATAGAGGAACAACTGTACTTCTTTTTAACACTTCTTTTAAAGCATGTCTTAGAGATATTAGAAAAGTTACATTCATCTTTCACATTTTAGTTCTCCTAAAAGGACTATTTGAATTTACAGTTTTACCAAAAGGACCGAGAGTGCACAAGCCCTTAAATCCTTGATAATGTTGGGCCCTATCAATTTTTCCTTTTTGAGGCATAACGTTGTCATCTTAATTTGGTTTAAAGTTGATCATTATTTAATGTTTCATGGTCAATTTTTATTTTTTTATTTGAAATGTCTTTTCACACAAATTGTCCTGAGTAAATAATAAATAAATAGAAAACTAGACTTTTGGCAACACCATAAAGAACAGAGAATAAAAGATACCATTCCAGGCTGGGCATGGTGGCTCACGCCTGTAAGCCCAGGACCTTGGGAGGCCTAGGTGAGCAGATCATTTGAGGTCAGGAGTTTGAGAACAGCCTGGCCAACATAGTGACACCCCATCTCTACTAAAAATACACAAATTAGTCAGGCATGGTGGTGCATGCCTGTAGTACCAGCTACTTGGGAGGCTGAGACAGGAGAAGTGTTTGAACTCTTGAAGGGAAAATATTTAAGAGAGACTAGAGACCGTTCAGGGATGCTGGAAAGGATTACAAACCAGACAAAGATGAATGCATGTCTCACTACTCAAGTGTCCTCTGCAGACCAACAGCATCAGCATCATATGGGAGCCTGTTAGACTTGCAGAATCTCATGCCCAGCTCAACCTCCTGAATCAGAGTGCACATTTCTACAAGACTCTCAGGAGATTTGTTTGCACATGAAAGTGTGAGGACTGCTGGATTAGATGACCTCAATAGTTCTTTCTGAACTGGTATGCTCCTGTGAGTCTAGGAATGATGTCCAAAGCAGAGAACTTGGGGCACGATGTCAGGGGAGCAGATCCCGTTTAGCTGGCGAGGCTGTTAGGGTTTTTCAAACTACTCCAGTCATGCTTGCATCAAGTTCTCAGAGGTACATGAGGTGATACTGGAAGAAATAGATGTTGTTTAATACAGGATCAATTTTGAGCTGTTGACTCTCAGAGCTGGAAGAAACTCAGGGATCATCTAATTTGCAATTTTATTTTATACAAGAGGAACTGAAGGTTAGAGAAGGACAGTGACCTGTCCCAGGTTAAAATAAAAATTGATGACTTTTTCCTACCTTAATTTCTGCCTAGGCTGGTTCATTCTCTCTCTAGCTCACTATTTCTGTCTCTATCTCTGTGTTTGTCTCTTGTCTTTCTCTCCTTTCTCTCTCTCCTCCCTCCCTCTCTCTTTCTCAATCTGTCACACACACAAACACACACACACACACACACACACACAGCCGAAATTAAACAACCTGCTTTTTAAATTGATCTGGTGCCTGTCCTTAGGGCCAAACAACAAAAGCAAGGAGAGGGGAGAATATAATATTGCAGAAGGAGTCTTTTCAGTGGTAGCAAAGCAGGCTGCAAGAGTAACGTGAACAGGAGCTGAAGTCAGAGGGAATATAAACTAAGAAGTCAGAAGGAACATAAACTAAGAATGCCAACAGGTATATGCTCTTCATTAGTTCTCCCTCAGACTTTTGAGCTGAGGTTTGTCATTGGTTATTTCAATAAAGAATCTAGGGTTATGATTGAGGCTATAGGAGAAAATGAGGAAGAACAGTGGATGAAAGTTCTAATCTCAGCAGTCAGACAGCCTGTATATAAATCCCAGTTCCACCACCAAAGGGGTCTATATGTGATATAATGAGGGTTTGCTTCAATGTCATATGGATTTAAAAATCATCAATTATTTTTATTTCACCTACTCACAGGGTTGTTGTGAATTTCAATAATACTTTGAAAAAAAATGCTTGAGGCTTCCGGAGATTTTTATAGTTTCTTGTTCAAATTGTCAGTATTTCCAATCAGCATGATATGGTTTGTAAAGACAGGGCACTATCTAACTTGTTCACTGCTCTACTCCCATGACTAGCACAGTGCTGCAACATAAAAAGTGCGAAGAATACCGAGTCAAGCTTCAATGAGTGGATAGGTTTACACATGAAGGGAAGAGGAGGAAAAACAGAAAGGAGGAGAGCAGGCTAGCTTCCTGTGTGACATTAAGATCTAATTTGTGATCATTAGGTTTCCCATAGTTTTTTTTTCTATTCTTGCGGTTTGCTGTTTTTGTCATAGTTTTTGTTTTTTAGTGATAACACTAAATTAATTAACAATGTAGTGAGGAAAACTTGAACTCTATAGTCAGGCAGACCAAGATTTAAGTTTGCTGCTTGAAACTATGTGACCTTGGACAAGTTACATTCTGTATCTGTGCATCAATTTTCTCATCAGTAAAATGGTGTTAATAATTTATAACTCATTAGGATTGTTGTGTGGATTAAATGGCAAAATGAATATAAATAGTTTAGTACAGGGCTTAGTATATAGTAAGCGTTAAATAAATGCTGTTTTCTTGCACTAAGAGTTCAAGGAGGCTAATCTACTAATGAAAAGATTTGATCAATGGCTGATACACTGGTACATGGTAGTCATCCCACAAGTGGTTTAAAATATTTAAAAATAGAAGGCATACATACGTTGACTTTTTTCTTTAATGACATTTTCGTTGAAGGCAATTTATGTGTCTGTCTTTTTTTATATGATTAAGTTTTAGGAGTTTTTGAAATCATTTATTTGAAAATGTTGATTGTATAATTTCTGCTTTTTAAAATTATTGAGATATTTCTCTTTGCTCTGATATGATCAATTTTTGTAAATGTTGTATGAAAACTTGGAAAGAAGGTATATTTTTGGCATGAGATAAGATCTGTTCTATATGAATTTTAGTTTATGGATTATATATCAGTTAATTTTCTTTAATGGAAAGCTTTAATAATGCTGCAGAAGCAAATAAAAAAAAAGCTCTACAACTTATTTAATTGGAGAATACTGGGTGATTCACAGAATTAAAGGATGAGATAAATAGCCTAGTCTTGGGTGGGAAAGAAACGAGGGTAGCTCTGGGAGCCGAGCAGCAGATACTTGGGAGCATTAGCATCTTTGGGACACTACACTGTTGTCTGGGGCTCAACTCTATATTATCTCCCTTTGGATTTCTGCTTAAGGGTTAAATTCCCCGGGGAAAGAACAGAGTTGTCTTAGCTTAGATTTCTTGCCTAATATTGTGATTGGCAGACAAGGACCAGGTTTCTACTGGAAAAAGGGAGGAAGAAGCCAGACAGGCAATAACTACAGAGATCCACTACCTGAGCTGTGACGTTTACATCTTTATATCCTTATTGCTGTGTTTCTCTTTGACCTGCCATGCTAAGTTCTGAGGGTGTTTAGGATGCAGAAAAATGGGAACATAGTTGTGATTCACTACATATGAGAAGATAGCTGGGTTTGGGTTGAGAGTATTCTCTTTCCCTAGATTGGCCTGTCTATAAAGAAAGCATGTTATTAGTCTAGTATTAAAATCACTATTAGTACTGTCACCATCACCATTTGTTGAGTACTTTTTCATTTATTAATATTTAAGGTATTTGTCAGAAACTGTGCTTGGTACAGTTCTGCCCCCATGGAGTTGAGAATCTACTGACAGGATACTCATTTATTCAAATAAACTCTTAAATTGATGGACAATTAAAATTAGAATGTAATTATAATTTATGCTTGCATGATTATAATTGGAATAACTATGATGAAAGAGAAATGCACGAAGTCTCAGGGAATATGTATTGTGGAGATTTGGCCTTCTCTGGCAGGACAGAGAAGATTGAGTAAGTCATGAATGTGGTGATATTAGAGGATATATAGGAGCTAATCAGGTGAAGAGAGCCCAGGGAGAAAATTTTAGACAAAGGTATCCATATGAAGAGGTTGCAGTTCTAGCAGAAGCATGATTCATTTGAGAAACCAAATGGAGGGTAATTTGGCTGGAGTATAGAGAGAAAATGGGAGTTATGTATGGAAAGTGCCTGGAGAGTGGGCTGTAACCATGCAGGATGTTATGGGTCATTTTAAGTTTTCTGGTGTTTAGCCTAAAAGCAATGTAAAGCTATTAGGTCATAACATGGGAGTGATATGACCAGTTTTACATTTTGAAACAATACGTCCAGCTGTAGTATGAACACATTGGAGGGGTTAGGAGTAGATATGAGATATATCTGGAGCCAATTGTAGGAATGTATGAGAAATAAGGGGGGCTTAAACTAGGGTTATGGATTAGAGGAAAAAGAAGTGGGCAGATGTAGGAGAAATTTAGGAAAGTACAACAGAAAAATGTGGTGGATTATGGAGGGTATAGAAGAGAGTGTCAATTATGATTTTTAGGTTTTGACTGGTATAATTGAATGGATGGTGGGCTCATTCTCATTGATAAAGAACACTAAAAGAGTCCGAGCTTAGAGCAAAAAACCATGTGTAATTTTGAACTGGCTGGCTTGGATATACTTTTGTGATAGCCAGTGTGATAATCCAGGGGAGGTTAGATAAAAAGGCCTGGAATTCATAAAGGAGGCCTAAACCAGAGATTGTAATGCTTGAGACTTTCTTTGTAGGAGATAAAACTGTCAGTGTGGGTGAGTTGCCTGGGGAAAGAGAACAGACAAGAAGGTGACCTAGGTTTCGTTGTGAAGTACAAGGCAAGAGCTTCTGCTGAGAGTTATCAAGGAGGTGAGAGGGAGAGGGGCTTAGGATGAAAGAAAGGTAAGGGGCCAGGGAAATTTTTGAGGAATTGATAATATCAGCAAATGGGAAACTGTCACTTAGTCATATCAGCAAATGGGAAACTGAGTTAATGGGGAAAAGTTTTAAGTTTATTGGTGACAATAAAGGCCCTCTTTGGGCTGGTGTCCCCCTTAATGGGACTAGAATAAAAGAAAGGTAGGTGGCCCGGAAGAACTTTGAGGACTTAGTCATATCAGCAAATGGGAAATACTCAATTACTCATATCAGCAAAGGGGAAACTGAGTTAATAGGGAAAAATTTCAAGTTTAATGGGGACAAACTTTAGGCTGGTCAAACACTCAGGCAACACACATTTGGTGAGCGGCCACTGTTCTGGCCCTTGGGAATATATGGTAAATAACATGGTCTCTCTACTCTTGAGGAGCTACATGTTAGTGAGGAGAGTGGTGAGTGATGTAGGTGCTTTGGCGCCACAAGATAACTGGTGTTCCTTAAAAGCATGAATTTATTATTCAAGTACTTTTCCTAATAATGTGATTTCAGTCAGTCATATATGGCTGCTTGATTATAGTCATAGAGACAGTAGATAAAGTTTTACAAATAGAGATACAGATTTGCTTGAAAGGCATAATGAAAAAAAATCAAAGAATAGAAATAGAGAAACAATGGAGTTGCCATTAAGGGTGTTTTAAATAATCATGGAGATTAAGAGAAGGAAATAGAAGAAAGGGGAGAAATGAAGGATTAACAAACAGGTAGTTACAATGAGAATAATTGAAGAAGCAAACTAGAAGAATAGAAGATTATGATCTCAATGAGATGTATAAATAGGTGATTTTGGAAGTAAAGTAGTTATGACTAAAGGAAAGGTCTAGGGTATGGTATAACACAGGGTGACCCAGATGAAGTAGAGATTGTCATTAGAGAGAAGATGGCCATGAAATAGAAAAGTCAGGGTGTTGAATAAATTTCAATTTAGCAAGTAGTACTTTCTGAATTGTCTTATATAGCACTGGCTATTCAGGGAGAGACTATCCAAAATAAACATTCCAAGCTTCTTCATAGAGAATGGATCCCAGATAGAGAACATCAGGAGACATGGAAGCTCTTCCCTTCTGCCACAAGTCTGGGTAGTAGTTTTAGATGTGCAGCTTCTGAAGTGACTGGATGGGATTATGACTACTGGATAGAAACAGAAATGGTGAACGTGCTTTGAAAAATTCTAGTCCAGCAGGTAGAATATACTGTGGGAAGATGATAGCAGCAAGCTGAAGTGCCATCAAGTATTTGCTGTTAGGGTTCAGGGAAAGAGTAGTAAGTTGTATAGAGTTATAGAAATCCTGGAGCAGTGACTTGTGTTGTTCAGGCAGGAAGGCAGCAATAAGGAAATCCATCAGCAGAGAGCTACAGTGGCAAGACTCTAGTTATGTTAATACAATGGCTACATCCCAGTCCTAGAATCCAGCAGCACCAGACAAATTGCCCAGCCAGAGGAGTCAGGCACAGAGTAACCAGATACTACGTACTTACTGGAACTGGGACGTAAGGGCACAATAGGAGTGGCAGCAAGAGGAACCTTATGCTTATTGTCTACTCATTTGTCCATCCATCCATCCATCCATCCATCCATCCATCCATCTATCCATCCATTCATCCATCCATTCATCCATCCAATACACATTGACCAGTGCCTATGAAGTACAAGGCCTGTGCTGCATGGTGGGAATAAAGAGATGAAGTAATATCATTGGGTCTCCCCAGTTGATATGATCTCTCTACCTGCAAAAGAGTTTTAGCTCTTTCATTCCTTCCTATTTATCTTCTGCAAGTGGAGAAGTGATAAACTTAGATCCTAAAGAAAAATAAAACTCCCCAGTCAGAGATCCACACAACACCAAATGAGTTCCCATATACTGGCACACTTAAAATCATGGAAAATGCATATGTGGATGATCAAGATGCAATTTATAGTAGACCACAGGTGCCAAACCTGATGAGAATGTCACAAATTAGCAATGAACATGTCTTTAACATTCAACTTGAAGTCTTGACCTAAGAATATATGTCAATATATTAATATTGCATTGATAAGTACATATAATATGTTTCTCTCTCCTAGGGAAATCCTTCTGATAAGGCCAAGATGCAAGCATTTATTCCTTCCCCTTTACCCTTTGGAAGCTCTGCCTTTGTTTATGCCCAGTTCATTATACAGCAGTTGTCTTCATTACCATCTCATGCTTTATGGATGGGAAAATGTTGCTATGGTGATGCTGGAATATAGGCCCGAGCAGAGACCAATGTGTACTTATCCTTAGTTAGGGGCACTAGAGCAGTAAGGAGTTAGCAACAGGAGTCATAAACCTTTTTCCTATATTCCTAACGTATATGCTTCAATGAAGGGTTGTTGGAGTTAATGGAGATGAACCCTTAGCAGCAAATGGAATGGATTCAGGTTCTCACATGGTTGTTTCATTTTACTATAATTAGCCTGTTTTTCATGAACATATTGATGAAGATTTCCAGGTTAGCAAATACATAGCTCAGTTCCTTGAAGGGCTGACAATCTTGTTTGTTATTTTCTATTGCACAGTTGTAGGCTGTACTCCAAGTATCACAAATGGGCACCACTAGTAACAGATAGAACCGAGAAATGTGTAGATGGCTTCTTGTAAACCCTTTATTACCTTTAGAAAAGCTCAGATTCATGACCTATATAGAGTAGTTAATTTGAGTGTTTGTATATAAAATCACAAACTACAGATGTTTCTCAACTTACAATGAGGTTATGGTTTCTACCAAATTTATATTATTTTTGCACTCGTAAAGTCAAAATATTTTATGTTGAGTCATCACTAATTGGAGACTGTCTATATTAGAACAGAAGACCCTTTGACATAATCTAAGCTGAATTTTTCTCTTAGAGATGAGGAAACAAGGCCTAGAGATAGAAGAGTGCCTTTAAGGGACCCAGCAAACAAGAGGCAGGTTGGTTTAGTTGAAATGAAAATCTGTTTTTCCTTCTATCTCTTTGTCTGACAAGCCCTTCTACTAGTTTCTGCTTCTTTAGTCAAAGGCTTTCAGAGAACCCATCTTTTCTTCCCCAATGGGAAGGAAATTAATGGATGTGGGAATATATCTGGAGACCCCCTTTCCCCACCTCAAATGTTAGCCTTGACTTAGTTACTTAAAGCCACTGACCCAAGCCTCCTAATGAAGCATGGCTCACTCTAGAAGGTATTGTTTATGGACCTGAAGCCTTGAGAAGATGAACAGTATCAGTGCTCAGAGCTGGCTTATCAGCAGGTATCCCAGTCAAGCTGACAGCAGGACCTGTTACTCTCTTACCTTTGTTTCTTAGTCTTTCAAATCCATTAGCATAGGGCATCATTTGATATATTTCTGTCTTTTCCTTCTAGAGTTCAAGTGCTATTTACAGTGAGTCTTTTGTAACTTCACATCCTAAGGATATCAGAGCATTTTGGGGTACTGCATTAGTTAGAATTAAACTAAGCCATATGGGTCCCCTAGGAACAGTGGTAAATCTTGGCAGAAATGTTTATCTTTTTATTAACAGAAAGATTAGTTTGGGTCTTTATGCTACTTATTTTAAGCAACTGTCAAGCCTGAAGATCTTAAGAGCTTCCTGCTTGGGAAGAGACTTAATAAGAATTATAGTTAAGGTTTGGGATAGATCAAGAGTCTTAGAAACAAATGCTGACTCCCTGTTGATAGAGAAATCATTTTAAGCTCTCTCAACCTCTGCTTTCCATTGTATAGGTCAGAATTGCATGTCTTGTCAGGATTGTTGTACAGAAGATATGGAATAGTGCCAGAGAACTGGGTAAGAAGCTGACATCTTTTCCAGTCTTCAATGAGCATCCATTTGTGTTGGGACAGTCTGGGGAAAATATAGGATGCGTCCTCCCTACCCTCAGTTCAGCTTTGAGTGTTTCTTCAAAAGGATTTTATATTTGTCAACTCACTTGACATTCCCACTATCAGGTAAACATGTAAGAGAAAACAGACTTTTTCAGGATCACCATGCACGTAATTGGGATACCTACATTTTGGTCCTAGCTAGGTTTTGGTCTAGCCCATCTGAACTTGAAAAAGTGATCTTCAAAAAATACAAAAGAATGATGTTGATCCCCAACTTAAAATCCTTCATTTGAGAGTGGTGTGGGACCACCTGCCCATTTCTTCGACCTAATTTTTTGCCATCATCCCCCTCAACCAAAGCATGTCAGCAACAGAGGAGTTATTCCATTGCTCTGACTTGCTTTTTTTTTTTTCCTGCCTCATGGTCATTACACATGCAGCTCCTTCAGCCTATAATGTTCTTTGCCCTGTGGCTTTGCGAAACTGCCTATTTTTCATATTTCAGTTCTTAGCTTAAGTGTCTCTTGCTTAAAGACTTTCCCCTGAATTCTACCTAAAGCAATATACTGTAGTATTTTCTGTTTCAGTCTTTGGTTTGGCACCTTAACAGCACTCTGAACTTGTGACTTTTTTGATGAATTTTTTTTCTCTTATATTTACCTGACTTATTTTATTTGGTCTGTCTATCATTTTGGGATGTAAAATGTTATGAAAATAGGGACTAGATCTATTTTATTTATGGTTGTATCTTCAGCACTCAGCACAATTACTGGCACCTAGTAAGCACTCAGTAAAATTTGCTAAATGAGTAAATAAGTCACTCATTCTTAGCACTTTAGCTCATCATAGGTAAAAATGTTCAATAACTGTAACTATTTTACTTACTCTTTTCCCTTCAAACAGAGAGGGCTCTTCCCTTCTGTGGTTGTCACTTTCTGGTCTCCATCAGACATGCTTCTTCTCCGTTGTCTTTCCTTTTACATGTTCCCTCTGTCTGCTTCAGGTATATGTTCAACTTGGCATGTACAACTTACTAAACTAACATTTATAGTGATAAGAGCAGTAGGTTGAAGTCCGGAAATCTGAGTTCCAGACTTAGATATGCCTTTAGCTTAAAATGTGATCCTGGATAAAGTTAGATGCCTATTTTTGGACCTCAATTTCTCCCATTTTTGTAGTGAAGAGATTGGAACTGATAAGCTATAAATATGTTTTCCACCTAGAATATTATCTAACGTATATTGCTTGTTTATCTTCTGTCAATTAACCTAGGCAGCATCATAAAATAGCCACTTCTAAAATAGTACGGGTCATCTGGATTAAAGTGTGGGTACATTCATTAAAAAAGAACTCCCACTAGTTTATATTCATGCTATAAAATTTACAATCCCTACAGAGAAACGAAGCTTCGAAATGTGTTGCCAATGAACAATATATTCAATGGCCTTGCTGTGCTGGGTGCTTTCTGGAGTAGCTGGGGAGCCACAAGTGCTGATGAAAACAGAAGTGAGCTGTGTTATGTCCTCATGTTGTTCTCCATATGCTATGTTTTGTAGCTCTGCCAGAATTTTCCCAGCATGGCTCCTCCAAATTTCCTACTTCATGTCAGATTACACACATTTCAGCCTTGGCAGGAAGGTCTGCATTTATAGCCAGTTTTGAAGATAGCAAAAATGTTTCACATATACTCAGTGTTTAATATTCATTACCCTGCACCCAGTGGCAAGACAGAGGAAGTATGGTCTTGTGGTAAGAGACGAGGCTGTGGAATTAGAAGCCTGGATTTGAATCTGACATGACTTGGGATAATGACTTAACAATTTAAATATGTGTTTCTTCATCTGTGAGAGATGTGTAATAAGAGTAAAAAGCTTTCAAGTTGATAGGGTGAAATGAAATAATCATGTAAATACTTAGCATATTCCTGGCACATAGTAACCAATCAACATGCATTATTTACTGTTTGTATTTCTCTCAGTGGTTGAGTAAAAACTGGAGGATTCCAATCCAGATCAAGATGCTCTAGTTTGTATTACCTCTTTTCAGTAGATTCACCTTCTGTGTCATCATCTGTGAAGTTGATGTTTGGTCTGTCATCTTTAAGGTCCCTTTCTGCTCTGAAATGATAAAGCAAATAGACTAATGAATATTTGGCATTATAAGAGGATAAATAATAGACATTTTAATTTTTCTGAATTATCTAAAAACTGTTGAGTGCTGATTACAAAGTATTATATAAAAGTAGTTATTATTTTCTCAGTTACATCACAGAAACCAGAAAGTGATTGTGTAGCAAAACTATGAAGTGGGTGACATTTTTAGGAAATCCTGGCCCTTGCAGTCTTCACCTCCCCTGAGATGTCTCTCTCGTACATCCTAGCTTTTTTCCTGTGCCCTCTATTTCCCTCCCCCTACTTATCTGACTCTGAGTTATATGCCTTATGTCTAAGTATAAAATGAAAGCCCTTGTTTCCTATTAAATAAATTTCATGCTCTGAGAAGCAGGGAGGAAGCATATTTCAACCAAGTTCTGTGATTGGACCATGCTTTCCAGGGCCCTGATATAATGCCAGATTGGTGGCTGCTATTTTCTCTCATATTTGACAGATCATTGAATTGTGGTATCTCCCTCAAACCAATGATATGGCCAGTTCTTTAATGTTCACACAATTCTGGTTCTGGCTTCAGCTACTGACTAATAATACATCTCATTCGCAAAGAATTCTTAGAGTTTCTGTCTCAGACTCTAAACTAAATGGTCTTAGAATGTTTCTTAACATGAACCTTCTCATTTATTGATGGAGTAATGGAGACTCTGAGAAATGACATGACTTACTTTATGTCCCCACAGCTAATAAATAACAAAATTTCCTGCAATAATACCTGAAATATTATTACATGATATATTCCTTGTAGTCTCACTGTTTTTTAAATTATTTTTAAAATTGTTTTTAATAAGAGCCTATCATTCAATTTGCATTTTTTTTTTTTACAATAAGGAGCATGCTAACCTGGTAGCAATTCATGTTTTATTCAGGTTAGTTGAGAATTTAGGTTAGTTGTTAGTGAGGTCAGAAAAGAATCCAGCAAAATTCCTGGGGCAGAAGAGAAACCAGAAGGAGAAGATACGGGGAGTACAGATTGGAATGGAGAACTAACAGTGGGCTTAGCAAGACGGGATTTGTTGGTGATCCAGATAACAGTGGCTTTCATGTAGTGGTGGGGAGAAAAACCTGCCCAAAGTGGGTTAAAAAGTGAATAGAATATGAAGAAGTGAAAAGATACTAATATTACATGTACTTTTTTTTCTCTGAAAGTGAGTAGAGAAATAAAATAGCTGGAGAGAGACATGAGGTCAATGGAAATATTTTAAATATTTTACATATATGCATATACATGTAAAATTATAACATATTTGCATGCTGTTGGTAATGATTTCATATTTAGGTGGAAATTGATGGTGAGGAGAAAGAAATGTTGATTATAGGAGTAAAGTCTTGCGTTGGTGAGAGGCAGTGAGACCCTGTAATAAATGGAAGGTTTGGCTTTCCCTAGGTGAAAAATCCAAGATTATGAGTAAAGAAGCAGACAGCTTGAGAGATTTGGTATTGAAAAGATGTAATGGTTATCTTTTGGTTACTTTGATTTTCTTGATGAAATAAGAAGTGAGTCAAGAGCTGAGAATGAGGAGAGGGAGAGAGTGTTGGTGACTGCAGGATGGAAGAGTGAATTTGTTACAGAAATGTAGTAAAATTGCTGGATAGTGCTAAAGGCCCACTCAAGTTTGACAGTCAAAAATTTGAAGAGAGACAGGTTAGACCTGTGTGAGTTTTTCTCCAGCCTCATTCAGCTGCTTGAGTGTAGTTGCAAAATAGATGGACAGTTAAGTTGAACTAAAGTTGGGGTTTTGCCAAACTAGGCTAGAGGAGAAAAGAGGAGCAAGCAATTTGGGAGTATATAAAAGGAGTGATTATACAGGTTACCCATGAAATCTAAGAAGAGTAAGGAAGGAACTGAGGACACAAAACAGGTTATGAATGGATAGTAAAAAGTGGTGAGGCCAGTGGGATGGAGGTCCTGATGAATTTGCAGGGGAGAGCAAGGCAGATTCTAAAGTTAACAGAGCTGCAAAAATAAGAGCAGATGTTTGAAAAAAGATTTAAGGGGCAATGCAGTTACTAGTAATGGCAAGGTCAAGTGGTGGCCATGGTAGTGTGTGAATGAGGTGGAATGAAGTAGAAGCCTGAAGGGGAGATAGTCAAGGATTTGGATGGAGACCACAGCATTGGTGTGGAAGTGGTCAAGTTGCTGATAGAATATAGAGTGGCGGAGGTGATGAGGGTGAAGAGGTGAGTAGTGGTGAAGAAGGGGTGAAGAATAAGATGGTGAATTTGAGACTTAGGTCTTCAGTGGCTGAGGAAAGCAATGAGGGTGGCAGATGACTGCCACAAGGCAGGAGAATAGTGGTAGAGCTTGATGGCATATGTTTCCAAAAAGGTAGGATATTTGAAGGAGGAAGGAGGCAATAATTGACTATTAATGATTGTAATGAGCATGAAGAGCACCTAGCCTTACCTCCAGGCTCTGTGTGCAATCTGGGTTGTAAAAGGAATAACAGCTGTCACTTGAAAGGCCAGCAAGGGAAGCAGTTTTTACAGGAAGAAACCAAGCTTTACAATGAACACACAACTGGTGGAGGAGCTGTCCCAGTACAGAGTATAAGTTCCAGAGCATCCAGTAGAAGAGCTGGGAGGGGCATGTTTAATAATGGCTGTGAGATCACATTGGAGATGCAAACTTATATGGGCACGATAGGTGATCCAGAATACTACTCAAATGTTAATGTATTTGAAAATCCCCTTGGGATCTTGTGCAAATTCAGATTCACAATCTTGTTGTGGGGTGGGGAGCTAAGAGTCTACATTTCTAACAAGCTTCAAGGTAAGGCTGATAATACTTATTTGAGGATCGTACTTTAAGGAGAAAGGCTTTGTAGGCTTGGACTAGTGTAAGCAGCATTAAGGTTGGAACTTGGGTAGAGGATGCCAGTGATGCGTTTGATTAAGAACAAGTGGAGCTCTGGAGCCTCCTTCAGTCTGGGAATATTTAGTAATTGTCAACATTTTTGGAAGATCAATTTTTAAACTTTCTTATCTTTAAATTTTTAAACCTTGTCTGAATCTAAAGCTCATGGGTTGACCATATATTTGTTTCAACAAGTGTATTGTCTTTGTTTCACAGGTGTGCACACATTATTTCAATAGGACTGTTTGTTCCTTAGAGCCAGAGACTGTGGGGAATAGTGGAACATTATTGGATCATGAGTCATAAGACTTAATTTCAGTTCCCATTTGTATTATTAACTAGCTATGGAAAGCAGTGGCAAAAATAATTTACCTTTCTGGTCATTTTTATGTGTGAAGTGGGGATAATCATGCCTAGCTGTCAGTGCTATGAGATTCAAATGAGATGCTTAATATAAAAATGTGTTGTAAATGGAAAAACAATATAATAACAAGATAATAATTATTGTCAGACTGGTATTTTTCTGATATATACAAGCATGGCATATTGGCTGGTGCTTGACATTATTGATCAGTGGCCATGCCACATTGGTAGTTAAATATTTTAAAATATAACTCCTGAAAATTGTGTTTCATAAATTTACTGTTATTTATTCTGTGTCTTTATAAAGTGTCAGCAGAAAAATGGGCATGAAATAGTTGTCAAATTAAAGATTTGGTATAACAAGGTGAATAAAATATATGAACACCTATACCAAGGCACACTGAGTGAAAAGTGAAAGTAATTCCAAAAGTCTGTAGAATGAGTTCTTCCTAATGTCACTTTTACCAGGAAGCATTAAGGTGTCAGTTCTTGTTCCCTCACAACAAATTTGAAAATGACCTCACTATAATTTCTGGCATTTGTTTCCTCTTTAGATTATACCCTTCACATTTCATAGTTGGTTCATGCAGGTACACTCAGACAAAAGAAGGATGCTAGGTACAGACAAGCTATGATTAACCTAACCCGTCTATTTTGTTCTGCCGTAGAACTCTCTGTTCCAAAATGTGTTATGGGGACTCATGTTAAAACTTCTTCAAAGACAGCTTGTTCTCTAACAGTAAAAAATATTTCTTTTATTTTTCCTTTTTTTCTTGGAGAGCTTGCTTTAGTGAGAATTGATTTTCCCAGCTCTTTGGAATTCAGAAAGAAAGTATGGATTTTGGGGTTCAAATTCTGGCTGTACCCCTTATTAGCTGTAAAATCTTAACCAAGTTACTTAATCTCTGTAAACCTCAGGTTTCTCATTGGTAAGACTGTCATAATTATAGGATCTTCCTCACATGATTGTTGTAAGAATTGAGACAATGTGCCTGAAGTAAGCGCTAGTCACTATTAATGACTGTGCAAGAACCTAGATAAAAAATTTGTGTCCTGAATTTATAAAGTCTCCAAATTCAAGAGTAAAAAACAAACAAACAAACAAACAAAAAACACTTAAAAATAGGCAAAAGGTTAGAACAGACACTTCATGAAGTAAGGTATACAGATGGAGAATGAGCATATAAGGAGGTTTTCAACATCAATATTCATTAGGAAATGCAAATCAAAACCACAGTGAGGCACCACTTCACACTTACCAGAATGGCTAAAGTTCTGACAGTGATTATCAATAGCAATACCAAGGAATACACAAAGTGTTAGGAGGATGGAGAGCAAACAGAGGTCTCATACATTGTTTATAGGAATACAAAATTGTAAAACCACTTTTGAAAAGCGATTGTTAGTTTCTTCATAAGCTAAACATACCACTACCACATGACCCAACCATGCTTCCCCTGGCCACTTACCCAAGAGAAATAAGGTGGCTGTCCATACGATGCTTTACATACAAATCTTTGTGTCTTTGTTTATATAGCTCAAAACTGGAAACAACCCAAATGTCCAGCAACAGTTGAAAGGATAAACAAAATGTGGTACATCCATATAGTAAATACTACTCAGCAATAAAAGGAAATTAATTATTGATATATGCACCAATGTGGACGCATCTCAAAATAATTGTCCTGAAGGAAAGAAGCCAGACAAAAACAGTACTTATTGTATGACTCATTTTATACGTAATTTTAGAAAATGCAAACTATAGTGACAGAAAGTAGATCAGTTGTTGCCTGGAGATGGGATGGGAAAGGCGTAGAAAAAGGCAGGAAAGGGAGATTACCAAAAAAATAAGGGGAAGCTTTTAGGGGAATAGATATGGCCATTATGTGTTGATCATAGTGATGGTTTTACAGGTGTATACACATGTCAAAACTTATCAAATCGTACATTTTAAACATGTAGAGCTTGTTGTATGTCAATTATACCTGAATGAAGTTATTAAGAAAAAAGAGACTCTCCATATTTTGACCCCATCTTATTAGCCTTGTTTATTACTGAATCTTTTATTCCACTGAGTCTATAACCATATCACTTGTAGGGACTACCCCAAAACATTTCTTTCCCTTGTCCATTAAACATATATTCACTGGGTCCCTGTTATGAAACAGACCTTAGAATAGGAGTTAGGCATCCATCAGTGATCAAGACAGTCCCAGTTTCTTCTCTCTTAAGCTTCACAATCTGGTCAGAGACATAAACAAGTCCACGGTTGTACAGTTATGTACATTTATTATTATTGTGTTTATTATTATTTTTATATATTTAGGGGATACAAGTGAGGTGTCTTATATGCATACATTGCGTAGTGCTGAAGTCTGGGCTTTTAGTGTACCCATCACCTGAACAGTGAACATTGTATCCAATAGGTAGTTTTTCAACCCTCACCCCCAACCCTCCCACCTTTTGAGGTCTCCAATGACCATTATTCCACTTTGTACTTCCATGTACTCATTATTTAGCTCCCACTTATAAGTGAGAACATATTTGACTTTCTGTTTGTGAATTATTTCACTGAGGATAATGGCCTCCAGTTCTATCCATGTTGCAGCAAAAAAACATTATTTTATTTTATTTTTTAGTGCTGAGTAGTATTCCATGGTGTGTGTGTGTGTGTATTTTTTTCTTTTAATCCAGTCTTCCATTGCCTGACATTGATTCCACGACTTCACCTTTGTGTGTAGTGCTGTGATAAACATATCAGTATAGGTTTTTTAAAAACCATATTTTGATTCCTTTCCCTTTGGATGTATACCCAGTAGTGGAATTACTGAATTGAATAGTAGGTCTACTTTTAGTTATTTGAGAAATCTCATACTGTTTTCCATAAAGGCTGTACCAATTTATCATTTTTGACTACTTAGCCTTTGAACACCTTGATGTTATGAGATAATCTTCCAGTGGGGGTTGCTGGGCCTCTTGCACTTAAAATTTAATATAACTTTCAGTGTAATTATTTGAAATAGTCTCCCATCATTTGAGACCTTCTCCCATTATTCTTGAATGATTTAATGGGCTTATTCTTAGTCCATTGCCACTTTTTGAAAGACAAAGTAACAGAAAGATTAAATGCATGCGTTCTGAAGTCAGACTGCCTGGACTTAAATTCACCTCTATCACTTGTTCATCTACTTAACTTCTCTTAGTATCGCTTCCTCAGCATAATAATTGTACCTGTCTCATATAGTGATTGTGAGGGTCATTGGGATAATTCAAGAAGTGCTTTGAACATTTCTTGGCATATGGAGATGCTCAAAATATATGAACTGTTTTCATTATTTTGGCTTCCCAAGGTAGCTTGATACCTATATAAAAAACACTCCAGCCAAATGTGGTCAATAATGCTAATTGGAAAGCAACACTGACCTAGAACCTTGGAGGGTGACTAGATAGGTGTGGATTACATTATCATAGACAAAAAGAGACAGAAATTCAGAGAACCAGTCAGGTGAGACCAAAATACATGTACTTTTGAACCCCAGAACAAAAGGCAGAACAGAAATCGAGGTAGTCAAAATTCAATCAACACAGGGTAGGTAAAGCAAGCCTATAAAGAGCTTGCTTTTCAAGGTAATGAGCCATGCTTATTTGGGTCATGATTATGCAGATAGGAAAGCTAGACTCAAGCAACGTCAAACTGAATGCTAAAATGGTAATTTAATTCTGAAATCAGTGTTGTCCCCCACTGAGGGGATCCATTTTATAGTTCTGTACTGGGTAGAAGTTAATATTGTGAGACCTAAGCGGGTAGTGGGTAAATGACTTCCATGGCTAAGAAGAGCATGAGACTTGTGGTAACAGACAGAGGAAAACACACAGAAAGTACAACTTTTGAAATTCATCTTCTTTATTCTTTTTTAAAATTAGCTCATTCTCATCTTAAAACTCAAGATGCAGTAGAAATTTGAATAGAGAAAAAAATAACTAAAACAATATTACCCATTCTCTGAAAGCATATTAACTTGGTTGGCTCTTTAAAGAAAATAGAATATGAAAGGGGCCCATATTCAGAGATATTACGCATAGTGCCATGGTGTCACTTTTAAAACCATCATATAGAACATTCAATACTTAAGACATTTAAGAATAATGGAAAATTGGTTTTTCTCTTAATGAACACGGAGCCAGAAAGGACCCTTTGTCATCATGCAGGTTTTTTTTTGGCCTGTGGACTGATTGGCAGTGTTATCTCAGAATGCCCAGTGGCACATCAGCATCTATGTGCAGAGCCCGTTCAGTGTTGAAAGGGCATGCATGGTCAGTGACAGGAAAAGAGTGGAGGGCTTTTTGCAGCAGATCAATTGCAATGACAGACTTCACTGTTTGCCAGATCCCAGCAAGTGCCTCCTGCATCAGAATCTCCCTATTTCCAAGCTTCTGCTGGGAGGTTGGTTAGTAGCAGACAATAGATAAGAATAGAAAGGACGCTGACTACAGCCCAGAGGTGAGTGCTATCAGAGATAATTATTAATCCTGAGGTTAGAATAAGATCTGGAACTTCAATACCATTGGAGTTGTACAAAGTAGACCATTGAATTCTCTAAGCGGTATACCAGCCTTTCTCCCTGTTTTCAATTCTCCCTCATTTACTCCCTACATTCATCCCCTCCTTCATTCTCTCTCCTGTGTTTCCAGGAGCCCCTGGAGAATCAGGCACTGGAGAGATCCCAAAATGACTTAGAGTCATTTCCTACCACTGAGAAGCACTGGACAGGGAGTTAGAACAGCAGCTTCTAAGGATCTAGATGACTTAGCAAGGCTCTTTACTTCTTGAGCCCCTAGCTTTATCTCAACAAAAACCTAGGAACTGGAGATGGTTTTATGGTCTTACAGCTCTGAAAGTTTACTAGGTTTTAGATGTTATCACCTATCATAAGCAAGGCATTCACCTCAGAATGTCATTTTATTCTCATGAAAGTGAAACAGATAAGTACAATTTTCTCTCTTATTTTACATATGAGGGTATCAATACTTGAGGCTGAATAAACTGCAGAAGGGTGCTCAGACAACTAGTAAATGGAAGAATTAGAATTTGACTCCAGGCAATCTGACTCTATGCATGGCCGATATACTATATGGCTCTTTTTGAAGCCAGTGGGTTTGTTTTATAGCTGGCATGGCTGGAACTAATAGAAATAGCACAGGTGCATGGGCTCTGGTGTCAGAATTGCCTATGTTCAAATTAGAGTCCTATCACACTTTCTTTTTCTTTTTTTTTTTTTTTTGAGATGGAGTCTCGCTCTGTTGCCCAGGCTGGAGTGCAGTGGTGTGATCTCGGCTCACTGCAAGCTCCACCCCCCTGGGTTCATGCCATTCTCTTGCCTCTGCCTCCCGAGTAGCTGGGACCACAGGCACCCACCACCACAGCCGGCTAATTTTTTTGTATTTTTAGTAGAGACGGGGTTTCACCATGTTAGCCAGGATGGTCTCGATCTCCTGAACTTATGATCCGCCCACCTTGGCCTCTGAAAGTGCTGGGATTATAGGCGTGAGCCACCGCACCTGGCCCATCACTTTCTAACTAAGCATCTTTGGGCAAATTATTTAACCTCTCTGTGCCTTAATATCAGACTATCAATGGGTTAATAACAAATTTTGGACTAGAAATCATTGCAATACTGAGTTTTGCTTTACAACTCAATAGCCATTGATTTTCTGACTCCCAGAATATTCCCACTTTTCCTATTTCAGTGCCATAGTGCCTGAAATATCACCATTATAAGGACATTTCTTCAAGCAAAGCATTATCCTTTCAGTAAGGTTCTATTATTAACTATAAAATAATGGCTAGGACTGAGGAATATACTATGCTAGGAAAGATATGAATAACTTTATGCCATCATCTCACTTATTCCTCACAAATAACATATAAAGTATGTACACATACCATATGTATAATAATAATTATTCCCAATTTACACATGGAAAAGTGAGTCTCAGAGAGATGGCCAAGATTACACAAATTGTAACTGGTGGGACTGTGATTTGATCCAGGTTTCTGATTCTAGAATTATTCTCTAAATGATTCTGACATTTTGTTACTAATAAATATGCCTGGAAATATCATAGAGTCATGAACGTATATACATATACATATATATATATATATATGTTTCTGTTATTATTTCCCCCATAAGAGGAGGAACCAGAACAGTACAAAGCATGTGGTTTGTGGAGCCAATTAAAAAGAGAGAGTAAAGCACCTGAAAACCAACTTCCTTTTGCTGAGGAGGACTAGTTCTGGAGATAAATTCTCTTTTCCTTGTTTGACTTTGTACCTCATGCTGGGGTTGCTGCTGAGAAACATGGCAGACCTGTTCCAATTAGCATTATAGAGGCTCAGGGCTGGAAAAGAATTTGGAGAGTGTAGCCTTTAATGCTTGTCTGGTGACGGCATCCTCTTTTTAACAACATGAACTTTTTTTCTCATTTTGTCTCTGCTGTCACGCCTCCCTGAACGTGAAATCACTACATCTTTTAGGTGATCTCTTTGACAGTGGTCAGCTCTGCGTCTTAAAGCTCCTTTTTTTAATCTTAAGCTTGACTTTTCCTTTTGTTCTTTCCTGTTGATTGGCAAAAAACAAGCGTGGTTGTTTTTCTATACTATAGTTTTATATATTTTTGGAGGCAGAGATGACAAATCACATACTCTGCCTTTCTGTCTGGCTGCCATCTTTACTTAAAATCTGACTTATTTATCAGATTTTAACTCAGCATCACTTTCCTTCAGAAACCTGCCCATGACCCAGACAACACCCTTGTTTTATGCATCCACAGCACCCTGAATTCTCTTTTGCAGCCCTTTGTTCACCAGCAATTATACAGAGATAATTATTGTTTCTCACAAGGTATACATTCTATGAGGGGCAGGGACTTGCTGTCTAGTTCACACATGTATACTAGTCACTGTGCTTATGCATTTTATTTACAAACTTCTATGGAGCATCTCCTGGGTATCAGCCATGGTACTTGTGAACAAGATAGATTTAGTCCCTCAGCTCGTGGAACTTATAGTCTAGTGGAGTTTTTCATTCTTTTTTTTCCCCAAGTTTTTTTTTTTTCTTATAGCAATTGACAATAAGAAAACATTGACGTATGATTTCAATCTATGGTATTTTTCTAAGTGTAAATTGATTCAGAATGGTAGTTTAGACATGTGTTTATTGCCATGATTTAGTTTATGAACTGCACCCATCTTCATTTCTAAGAGTTAAAAAACTGGGGCTGGGTGGTTGGACTGACAGTTGCACAGATGGACTACATCAATTATAGCATCACAGTGAATTGGGAGCCATTCATTGATTTATCTTTTCAGCATTCATTCATCTTTTCTCATTCCCTTTGCAGTTCTGGTTCCACAAGTCTTAGCATTTGGGATAATAAAATCTTTGGCCACAGTGTAGGCCAAAGATTTGGGGTCAGAGTGGCTTGAGTTCTATAATATCCAACCTATTTACTAGCTGCGCAAGCTTGGACCAAACTAAACTCTCCAATTTTTAGTTTTCTGAGAAATATCAATTCCTGCTTCATAGTTGTTTTTTAAAGAGGTTGAAATGAGAAGTAGTAGTACTAATACCATCACCACCACTACCACCACCATCATCATCTAACATTATGTGACACTTATTATGAGCCAAGAACCGTTCTAAGGACTTCCTATATATTAACCCATTCAATCATATCTATGAGATAGATACTAGTATTATCCCTATTTCACAAATGAGGGAAAGGAAGCACATAAAAGTTAATAAACAAGCTCAAAGTCTCCCAGCTGGTAAGTACAGATCCAGGAGAGAGACCACAGTGTCTGGGTCTGCATTCCACGCTCCCAGCAACGTGGCTGTAGATGCCTCTGGATAATGCAAGTAGTGCACTCAAGAAGGTGTTCAGTAAAAGGTGTCTTTATGTAGTTAATACAGGTTTGTGACAGCTCAAATTAGTTTGCCCCACTTTTCTTAGGGGATCTTACCAGATAAGAGAAGCGTTGTGAGCATGATGCACTACTTATTCATTCTCTTGCTCAAATGAGCCCTAAACCCAGGCTTGTACCTGCTCTAAGTGGTCAGATTAACAAACTAAAAGGAATAAATACGTAAAAGAAGGAATCAGGCATGGAATCTAATAAAGGGAAATGAGATTCTGACGTGAAAAATATCTGCAAGATAATAGAGTTTTGTTCCTGAGTCTTCCACACACGTCTCTTGGCTCTGAAAGCAGAATTGTTCATCAATGTCAGTTACATCACAGTTCAGTGTCCTCTTGGTGTCCATCACACCAAAAGCTTTTGTTATAATAGCAAGCAAGAGATGATAGAAATGCCCTGTCTCTCAGTTTGAAACTGATTTTGCAAAATTTTGTTTTTATAAAACACATCATAATGTTATTGCTTGAAGAATACAGCATATGAAATCACAAGAATATCAAAATGAAAAGTCACTAGGCTTGAAACATATAATACATTATCAGATGCAGTAAAATATTAACTAACCTGAACTCTGCTTCAGAAAAAAAAAAAGGTGTGGAAAATATCTAAGTTTTTTACTTCAGAAACAGATAAAATAGAAAGTATAAGGATGTTACAGTACAAATTAGAAAAGCCAACACACATTAATTTATTATTGTTCTAGACTAGACTACCTTTGGTACTTAAACTTTTTAAAAAACAATTTCTTCTATCTCATCCAAACGCACTTAATGGGTATGACATCCATGAAGTAGCTTCAACTTACAACATTCAGCAAAATTAACCTTTTCACCTCATGGGGGAAGTATATTTAATAAATGTATAACAACATTTCCCTTTTACTAAAACTGCAAAATATGATCATTAAGAAACCTAATACTTATAAAACTTTACTTACTTAGCTCTCCAATTAAAATTGGAATCCTGGCAGCCACAATCTATTTGTGGGCTTGGTGAATACAAAGTTTTAAAAGATTTGCCAACTGACATAGGAATTTAATTACTTCATACTATCTTAAGCGAATTTTCCTTTCTGTTTCCAAAATATAGACACTATGCCATTTCTTCAACATCCTGGATTCCTATAATCACTACCATACCTTATTTATTAGAACCAAATTAAAGCCTCTCTCTTTTTTTTTTTTTTGAGATGGAGTCTCGCTTTGTCACCCAGGCTGGAGTACATGGCGCGATCTCGGCTCACTGCAAGCTCCGCCTCCCAGGTTTACGCCATTCCCTGGCCTCAGCCTCCCGACTGGCTGGGATGACAGGCGCCCACCACCACGCCCGGCTAATTTTTTTTTTTTTTGTATTTTTAGTAGAGACGGGGTTTCACCGTGTTAGCCAGGACGGTCTCGATCTCCTGACCTCGTGATCCCCCCGCCTCGGCCTCCCAAAGTGCTGGGATTACAGGCGTGAGCCACTGCGCCCGGCCAGCTTCTCTCTTTTAAAAGCAGGTAGAAACTATTTATGTTTCATATAGGGCTGATCAGTTATAACACAACTTATGTTTCATATAGGGCTGATGAGTTAATTCATATAGGGTTGATGAGTTCTAACGTAACTTCTTAAGCAAAACTAATCTTTTTTTAAAGCTATCACTGAATTATGATGGAGACAATAATGTCATCTCAAAAGGTAATGTTGGACTCTAGGCCATCTAGTCGGGAAAATGTAAAAGTAATTCTAAAAACAGTAAGTAAACTATAACTACAAGTTAAATTAAAAATCCCTCTCTAATAGCAAGCATGCTCATTAACTTTCATTTCTTTCCCCCAGCAAAGGTTTGAATATTCATGAACCTCAGTTAAACCAAGGGAACCAAAGCAATTGTTTCAAAAGTCCCACCTATATATTTGGATAATATGAATGTGGATAGACTAGGCAAGTAATACTATCAACAATTATTGAATTGGAGTGAAATAGTAAAAATCATGACAGACTTCCAAACTGGGCAGTCTTTGAAATGTCATAGTGGAGCTCAAAATGAATTATGCCATAATAAAGCTATAGTTATTATCTCTACACAAAAGAAAAAATAAAAAAACATAACCACCAAATTTATACAACTACTATTGAACGTACTTCTTCCTAGTTTTTGAATGTCTTGAAGTTTTTCTAAACAAGTATATTTATCTGAGCATATATGTTTATTGCCTGTATATGTACTCATTTTAAAAGACAAATTCAGATATTACAGAACTGAACTCTTTTCACCAACCTGATCTAATATCTACCGACTTCACACAGCAACCCCCTTAATAATTTAAAATTCACAAGTTTTAGTTTAGTTAAAAGGGCAGAGGAAATGCAAATGCAGATTTAGAGCTTTGTATAAATTTCACTGTATTTTTATAAACTTGAAGTTTTCTGTAACACTGTTTATTGATGAAATGAAGGACTTGCTGCTATCTAAAATTTCATGAACATCATTAAAAATTTAAAATTGATATTATACTGAACCTTAAATTTTCAATAGTTCGAAGAGACAGTTTTTACATGTATAGCACACAATAGATGAAACTTAATAGCAGGCATCCCTAGAATACCAATGACAAGTCCACCAAGATGCATACGAAATTACAGATAAGCACTTCTTCCACTGTTTTTGTTGTGCAGGGAAAAACATTTATAGAAGAAATAGAAATTCAGCTGATGAATTTCAGATATTAGCATCATCTTCAAAAATTTTAACAGTGAAAAATTATGACAATGAATGAGATCTGACGTAACTGACTCTATCTTGCCTTTAACCTCCAAACTACCCTTGTTCATTCCTGGGCATAGACCAAGCTAAATTCGGGAGTAATTTAGTTTATAGCTTAACTTTGAAACAAAGATGATAACAATTCCTCTTTGAAACAAACACCGTCCTTGCTTGGGGACCAGACTGCCTTTGAAAAACTAACAAACTAGCCACAAGATCTAAAATTATGGCTCAGGAGTCATGCAGTCAAGAGGTCACAAGATTCCCAACCTCCCCAATTGCTCTTATAGATAACATTATGATTGTAAAACCTAAGATTGGTGTTTGAGGTATTTTTCAGACCCTGCATTCTGATGGATTCACTGGTACCATCAAGACCAGTAAATGGACTCATCTGGTCTTGTGGCCTCCACTCAGGAACTGACTCAGCACAAGAGGACAGCTTTGACTCCCTGTGATTTCATCCTGACCCAATCAATCAGCCTTCCCCATTTCCTAGCCCCTTGTTTGCCAGGCTATCTTTTAAAAACACTAGCCTTTGAATTTTTAGTGAGGCTGATTTGAGTAATAATAAAACTCAAGTTTTCCATTTAGCCAGCTCTGTGTGTATGAAACTCTTTCTCTATTGCAGTTCCTCTGGCTTGATAAATTGGCTCTAACTGGGCAGTGGGCAAAATTAACCTGTTGGACAGTTGCAGTTTCATATTTTCTTTTTTCTCAGTAATTCCTTTGCCACCTTAAAACGTCTTCCTGTAGTCTGGTTAAGTTAGTACCTTTTGGATCTTACCTGGTTAACTGGTAAGCGCCTTGCTTAGGGTCCCTGTCTCATGATTATCTGCCATGCCCAAAATAGAACCTTCTACATATTTATTGCCCACTTCAACATCTGAATATTAGAATTTCAGCATTGATAGGGTCCTTAGAGGGAATCCATTCTGACCACTTTATTTTGCAGAGCTTAGGGTGGTCAAACAACTTGCCAAAAATCATGTATTAAATTAGTGATAGAGATTAGATTTAATAGCAACATTTTGAGCCGGACACCAATTTACAGATGACTTGAGGGACTACTTAATACTTTTTCCCTCTTGTTTACAATTGGAATCTTACAGTGAAACAGGAGAGGAGTGAGTGGTTTCAGAAGAAAACTATAGAAAGGGAAGGTATGAGGTTAAAAATGAAATACATATCATTGCCTTTTATCTAGAAATGGTTTATATTCTGATAGCAGTGAAGATATCTAGTATTTCTGGACTAGCCAGGTCATAATCAAGGGGTCAGGGAGCAGAGATTGTGTGACCCCTTAGGGAAAGTCTGGGGAGGGAACACCTGGCATCTTGGTGATAAGGAAAAATCTCCTTTTTATCCTTCTTTTCCATAAATGGTTTGTCTTTTTCCTTCTGTCAGGCCTGTGCATATACAGAGTTTCTGTAACAGAGCAATGTTTTTTCATGGTCATGTTTTAATTCATGCACACTTAACTCAGACTTTGTAATGTGCTTTGAATTTGGCATCGAACGTTTGGTTTTGTGACCTAGCTCTCCTATGACATGTAAAATATTGGGCAAATATTTAAATCCCTCTGAGTATTAGTTTCTTCATTTCTGAAATCTCTAAAATTATCTGAAAAGTGATGATTAGCTGACATAGCCATTTTCAGGCTGATTTGTTGTAAATCAGTGTTTTTCAAAGCTTGGTTTGTAGACCATCTTCATCAGACTCTCCTGCAGGTATGCAACAGAACTGCAGATTCCTGGGTCCTCCTCTGGACCTTTAGACTCAGAATCTCTGGCAGTGGGATCTCAGAGTTGGTATTTTACCAAGTGATTCTGATGTGCATTTAAGTTTAAGAACCACTAAATAATTTGGAAACATGCTTCATATATTATAAGATATTATATAAATGCAATTTTCAGAAAATGTATTTTTTCCACTCAAACTGCCCTGGTCTTTGCCTTTCCTTGCTAAAAAAATCTCTCTAGAGAACCACCTCTGCAGGGGTCCTGGGGGGCATCTAAACAGCCTAAGGACACACGGACAAAGGCAAACAGCCACCTGAATGAAAACTCTGTAGTCTGCTAAGGCTTGACTCACCAGCCTTTTAAGAAAATGCTATAATGTTGTGGAGTGCGTGTAATATCTGGATGGGGAATCAGGCAGGGAGATTCAGACACGTCACTGAACAAAAAATCTCTGCAGCTAGAAGAAAAGCAAAATGAAGTTAAGCTCGGTGTTTCATATAAATGCAAGACCTGCACTCTAATGTTTAAAATGTTCAGTTTGTTTACACACAGAGAGTGAATACGAAATGTATACCTTTATTATCTTTTGATTAGATTTCTATAGTCTCTCAATTACTGTCTAGTTGGATGACCTTCCTTGTATTTATTTGTACCTCAAAGTTGGGGAGGAAAAGCTGGGTCAAATCATTTCCTTGCCCCCAGAAAGACTCTGCTGGCTTGGCTGAGCTGGGAAACACCTCACATGATGACATGAGCAAAGCACATGGGCTGGGGCATCACCCCCTTGTCCAGCACTATCTCATCCTTAAAGAAGAAATGGCTTCATAATTTGCTTGAGTTTTGTGCTACATGAAAATCTGGTGTACTCTCAGGCAGACAGACTATTTAAAAGCCCGAGGGAAATCTATGTGGGGTTTAACTGCCCATGAGTAGGGTTGTTCTGATAGGAGCTCTGACTTTGAGGTCTATTTTTTCATTCTATACTTAAAAAAATTTTTTTTTCACTAAAGAAATTAGATTTTTCTTTGAACAAGCACTAGAACAGGGAAAGCTATAAAATAGCTGGGATTTATGGTCTATCTCAGAGGTGATTTTTTTCAACTCATCTAGGCTGAAATTACTGCAGTCTTCCCCTTAGAGTTCCTTTGGAATTTGTTTTCAATTTAGACTGCATACCTGAAAAAATAGGATGCAGAATGATACTGCAGTTTCTGAGGAGTAGTCTGGAAAGATAGACTATACTATGCTTATAAACAAATTCAAACATATTTGTTGTAAAGCATTATCTAGATTGAGATTCCAATTTTCCAACTGCTCTACCTACAGGCTACATTATTAACTCTTTCTTCAGTGTGTTCCACACCAGGGTCTTAACAGACCCCCATGCTGCTTTGTAAGACACTTTCAGGAGATCCGCAGGTATACTGTAAAAGAAGAGTAGTTATAAGGGGACCTGCATTTTCATGCTGGTTCTGCTTTTCTACATATTTTATTCTAATCAAATCATGACCTTTTGTCCCTCAGCTTTCTCATCAGTAAAAAAGGGAGGAGGTTGAACTAAATCGGTGTTTCTGAACAGGTGTTTTGTAGAGCACATATGAGATACCTAAAACTAATTGCATGCATGAATCAACAATTAAGATCTTTTTAATGTGTTGGATATTCCATAACCTGATTTCAGCATTAAATATTTAGGAAATCTGTAATAACCCAAATCAAGAAGAGCACGTATTCAAAAGCTTGTTATTTGGGTATCTGGGCTAATTGGAAGAGAAGTCTGGGATCCATTAGCCATGCCTGTCATGCAGTTGGGAACAGGGAGGAGCAGTGTGTGCCCCATGTGTAGGCTGACCTGAACCTGACAAGTCCACCTTTTTGGGAGGATGCATGCACACAGGTGGAGTTAGAACCAGAGGTTGCCATATTCTATCAGGTATTTGTGTCTTTGGAGCATTTAGAGGGTCCTCAGGGCAAAATAGTGAAAAAGATGAGCCCATTGTAAAATTGCTGTCTGTGAGAAAGATGTACACCCTGATAGAATTACATGTGGTTTGAAACTTTTTAAATTAAATTAAATTAAATAATTTCTTTTTAAGTTCCAGGATACATGTGCAGGATGTGCAGGTTTCTTACATAGGTAAATGTGTGCCCTGGTGGTTTGCCGTGCTATCAACCCATCACCTAGGTATTAAGCCCAACATGCATTAGCTATTTTTCCTAATTCTTTCCCTCCTTACACCTCACCCCCTGACAGGCCCCAGTGTATGTCCATGTATTCTCATTGTTCAGCTCCCACTTACAAGTAAGAATATGTGGAATTTGGTTTTCTGTTCCTGCACTAGTTTGCTGAGGATAATGGCTTTCAAATCCATCCATGTCCCTGCAAAGGACACGATCTCATTCCTTTTTATGGCTGCACAGTATTCCATGGTGTATATATACCACATTTCCAGTCTATCGTTGATGGGCATTTGGATTGATTCCACATCTTTGCTATTGTGAATAGGGCTGCAATGAACATAGGTGTGCATGTATCTTTAAAATAGAATGATTTTTATTCCTTTGGGTATATACCCACTAATGGGATTGCTGGGTCAAATGATATTTCTGTTTCTAGGTCTTTGAGGAATTGCCACACTGTAAGCAAAAATGGACAAATGGAATCTAATTAAACTAAAGAGCTTCTTTCTGCACAGCAAAAGAAACAATCACCAGAGTGAACAGACAACCTACTGAATGGGAGAAAATTTTTGCAATCTATCCATCTGACAAAGGTCTATATGCATAATCTACAAGGAACTTAAAACAAATTTATAAAAACAACAACCCCATTAAAAAGTGGGGAAAAGACATGAACAGACACTTCTCAAAAGAAGACATTTATGTGGCCAACAAACATATGAAAAAAAGTTCAAAATCACTGATCATTAGAGAAATGCAAATCAAAACCACAATGAGATACCATCTCATGCCAGTCAGAATGTCAAATATTAAAAAGTCAAGAAAATTCTGTTTTTATTCTAGAACTGTTTGCCCCTCTTTCTTATATGGAAACTCTTTTCCTGATCTCTCTCTTTCATGGTCCAGTTCACGTCCCAGCCTTTTCACGAAGCTCTTAAAGAAGATCCCAGCTTACCTTTCCTTTATAGGTACTGTGGTAACTTGCACAGGAATATGCAACACAGTAGGTCATAATAAACAAGAATTGGATTGATCAGTCTATAAATCACTAGCTATACTATCAGAAATAAGTGGTATATGTGCTATATATAACATTAAGGTAAATATATAGAGACTTGAAATGAGCATCATAAGCAGTCTTAAAATAGATGGTTAATGTTGACTTTATTTTCTTTGGGAGGCCGAGTCGGGTAAATCACGAGTTCAGGAGTTCGAAACCAGCCTGGCCAACAGGGTGAAACCCCATCTCTACTAAAAATACAAAAAAATTAGCTGGGCATGGTGGCAGTTGCCTGTAATCCCAGCTACTTGGGAAGCTGAGGCTGGAGAGTCGCTTGAACTGGGAGGCGGTGGTTGTAGTGAGCCGAGATTGCGCCACTGCACTCCAGCCTGGGTGACAGCATGAGACTCCGTCTCAAATAAATAAATAAATAAATAAATAAATAAATAAATAAAATAAAATAAAAATAAAAAATATCGATTTTAAGTGAAATGTGTCTATAAAGAAAATTTAGAGGAAAGTGAACAAAGAGAAGGATTATATTGCTGTCTAAATGCCCTTTTCCCCACTGACTACTAAAGCCTACAGTCTGAAAAAGAAAAAAAAATAACTTCACAAACAGAAATGAATGAAACTTTTCTGAACCTCATCAGGAAATGCTGATATCTAGAATCTGCTGTTAGCTAGCATATCATTTAGAGACTGAAAAAGGATACTCTCGGCACAGAAGTGTGGATGGCCAGAAAATTAGGGTTATATAATCAGCTTTGTGTGAGAAAACAGAGTCAGGAAAGCAAGATAATACTTCAAGCAGAAATGAGTCGGATAACAGATTTTGTCTCAAACTCATTTTCTGATCTTACAAAGAATCACTGCATTGACTTAGGTCAGCCCTCTGGGAGAATAATCAAAAATTTCACATGGACCAAATGTATTGTCTCTTCCCTTCTACTGAGAGAATTAGCATAGATATCCTAATATGTCCATTTTCCTTCTTTCTGGGTTTCTTTGTGCTTACATTCAATTTCCTCATCTAGAATATGAAGATGATAACAAGCACCATGTAGGATTTTTCCAGATAATTCAGTGAGATAATGTATGTGGGTGTGGTTTATAAACTATGAATATAAAACACTGTAAAACCATATTCTGCTACTATAGTTTTCTCATTTGATTGGGGATTAAGTAGAATATCTTATACTGGAAAAATTCAGAAAAGAACAAGAAAAAGTATGGTTTATTGAGTAACCTAGTTAGACGTGAATCAGGGGAAGAGAAAACCTATAGTTCAGCATACTTCCTTTTTAATCTACATGAGGTTGATTGTTTTTTTTTTTTAGAAGAGGCCCATCTATTAGAATGTACCATAAAAAAGAAACATGGGATAGCCCTCACTTCCCTTTCCCCTTGCCAAAGACCTGGAGATTCATTTAACACTTTTCTGAGCTCCTACTATATATCAGGAAGTATTTTGGGTGCTGGGAAACAGTGGTGAACAAGACAGATAAGATTTGCACTCTTTTCAGTGGTAATAAAGAATGGATAGAAAAGACAATCAATAAATTAATAAAATGCTATCAAATATTGAAAGGTACTGTAACAAAACAAGCAAAGGGATGTGATGGATGTACACAGGGCTGTAGTGGAAGGTGAGGTTGCCATGAAAATGTGACTCTTAGATCTTCTACCATGAAGAACATCATTGATTGATAGTCCCAGCTTCTGCAGTCTGAAGCCACCACCATGCTCATGCTGAGATCACCCTTCCGCAGAATGCTCCCAGCCAGTGGCTGAACATGACAGGGATACTAAGGCAAGCTCCTTGCTGTGAGATGCAGGACTCCTCCACTCATGACTCTGGCTCAAGGCCTTTCTAAAACGTATCAGAACTACTTCTATGGCCCAGGATGCTTCCTACCCAACTTTCTTTCCTTTCCTCTCTCTTTCATAGGGATCAGACTTACATCACAGTGTGATATTTTCTCCAGCACACTCACAGGCATTTCTTCCAATAAATCTCTTGGCATCTGCTTCTTGAGGACTTTAACTAACTCAGAATTGGTCATTTCAATTTGTGTCAGACAATGTTTCTTGGAGGAGGAGATAATTGATCTGAGATCTGTAGAAATAACATTTCAGGAAGACAGAGCATCAAGTGCAAAGACCTAGCAAAGGCAAGAATATGCTTGGCATGTTCAAGATACAGGAGAAGGCCAATGAGCTGGAATGTGTTGAGTGAGCAGGTGATTTTTGGGAAGGAAATTCAGAGAGAGAAGTCGGGGCCAATCATGTAAGATCATACAGGCTATGGTGACGAAGTTGGATTAAGTATGACAGGAAGCCAGTGGAGCATTTTAAGCAGTCAAATAACATGCTCTGAGAGAGAAGATACTTTCTACAGCTATGCACTCTGCAAACATACAGTATTTTTTGATGAAGAAAACAATGATTTCTGGAAGTGAGTCTTTCTCAGGCAGATCCTGCATCTGCCTGTGTCTTAGCCACCACAACCTCTCCTTCCTTTGTCTCTCTGGGACAGGGAAAGAAAAAGGTAAGTTTTGATCCAGATGACTAGGAGAGTTGAGAAAAGCCAACCACAGTGACTTTACCCAAAGGATTTTTATTGTTGATATTCTTCTTGACATCAAGTTTGGGGAAATAATTTCAAATTGGTCAGTGTGTCTATTATTAGAAAGTCTTTAACTCCATCTATATAATTTCTTATTGGGTCTGGGTTTTATTCAACAATACCCCATCTCTCTTCATGTTTGTCTATGATGAAATTTTAGATCTTTGTTCTTCTCTTATATATTCTGGCTGCGTGCAGTACTTTTCGATCCTCATCACATTTGTCCAGCACAGGACTTCTGGATTGTCTATAGCTGTTTTCTTTACACAAGAAATTCTTGCATTATGTTCAACAAATGCAGTTGAATATCAGTCACTTAATGCTGACTGACATTGCTCCCATATTGTTGAGAACATGCTCACATGTGTAGACTTCTCGTTATTGCAATAAGGCAGATGCCCATGCGGAACACCAATAGTATGATGTGTGGGGCATATCTGGAGGGTAAGCTCTCTTGAGCTATTTTTTTTCTTGTTTAATGGGAGTGACAACTCAGTCCATAGTAAATTATTTATTAAACCGCTATCATGGGCCAACCTCTGAACTAGGTGATGGGGATACAGTGGTGGTGACCTGCATGTACAGAGCTCCTACTCATGAATGTTCATGTTTGGTTGAAAGGAAAGGTTGTGGAATAAGGGAAGAAATAAGATGGCCTAAGCTTGCAGTCTGGATCCAGTACTTCATAGCTATAGTACCTTGGGAAAAATCACTCTCTTTCATCCTGAGGTTCCTCCTCAGTTAAACAGGGATACTAATAACTCCTCTGCCTTCCACTCAGGGTGATTACAAGAATCTCATAAAGTAATAAGAAATTATAACCGTGTAATATTCAGATTTTCTTTTTTTGTTTCAGATGCTCTTGTTTTGCTTCTTGTTTCTTGTTTGATTCTTTGTTTTAGATTTGTTTGTTTTTAGACAAGCTTTTTTTTTTTTAATTTTACTTTAAGTTCTGGGATACATGTGCTGAACGTGTAGGTTCGTTACATAGGTATAGATGTGCCACGGTGATTTGCTGCACCTATCGACCCGTAATCTAGGGTTTAAGCCCTGCATGCATTAGGTATTTGTCCTACATTCCCTCTCCATTCCCCCACCCCCAACAGGCCCACTGTGTGATGTTCCCCTCCCTGTGTCTGTGTGTTCTCATCGTTCAACTCCCACTTATGAGTGTGAATATGCAGTGTTTGGTTTTCTGTTCCTGTGTTAGTTTGCTGAGGATGATGGTTTCCAGCTTCATCCATGTCCCTGCAAAGGACATAAACTCATTCTTTTTTATGGCTGCATAGTATTCCATGGTGTATATGTGCCATATTTTCTTTATCCAGTCTATCATTGATGTGCATTTGGGTTGGTTCCAAGTCTTTGGTATTATAAGAAGTGCTGCAATAAACATATGTGTGCATGTGTCTCTGTAGTAGAATTATTTATAGTCCTTAAGGTATATACCCAGTAATGGGATTGCTGGGTAATTCAACCATTGTGGAAGACAAACTTACATTTTAAGGGCAGTTTTTGATTGACAGGGAAATTGAGAAGGTAGTACAGAGTTCCCATATACTCCTGCATAGTTTCCCCTGTTGTTAACATCTTACATTAGTATGGTAGATTTGTTATAATTAATGAACATATATCGACACACTATTATTAACTACAGTTCCTACTTTAATCATATGTTCTCAGTCTTTCCCTAATGTTCCTTTTCTGCCCCAGAATCCCACCCAGGGTGCCACGTTGTATATAGTTGTCATGTCTCCATAGGCATCTCTTGGCTGTGAACAATGCTCAGACTTTCTGGGTTTTTAATAATCTTGAGAGTTTTGAGGAGTACTGATCAAGCATATTATAGTATGCTCCTCTATTGGAATTTGTCTGATTGATGTTTTTTCATGATTAGACTAGGGTTATGGGACTTTTGGAGGAAGATCACAGATGTAAAGTGCCATTTTTATCACATCACATTTGGGCTACGCACTATCAACATGATTTATGACTATCGATGTTGCCCTTGATCACCTGGCAGAGGTAGAGGTTTTCCAGTTTCTCCACTATAAAACCCCTCACCCCCTATAGTTCTACACTGTAGTCTCGGGAAGAAAGTCATGATGTGAAGCCTACACTGTAGAAGTGGGGAGTTGTGCTCTGTGTCTTTGAGGGCAGAGTATCTACATCAATTATTTGGAATTTTTCTGTATGGGAGGTTTGTCCCTTCTCCCCCACTTATTTATTTATTCAATCATCTTTTTATATCACTATAGACTTGTGGATATTTATTTTGTACTTTGGGCTATATTCCAATACTACTTTATTTTGTTGCTCAAGTAGTTTCAGCTTTGATTATTGATTGGCTGTTGTGTCCTTTGGCATACTTCAATCACTGTGACCTTCCTTTCTTCCTTCCCTCTCTTCCTTCCCCTCCCTTATTTCTGGTACTACAAGATGCTCCATGCTCATCTTACATATCTCCTACCTCAATCCTAGAATCCATTGTTTCTTCTGTGGGCCGTGGTTCTTTTTATTAGAGAATGGTGTTGGAAACTAAGATCTGTATTTTTTTTTAATTGGAGAAGGGCATTGGAAACCAAGATCTGAGTACAAGGTATGTTTCTTGATACTGGAGTCTCCCTGCTTCTCAGCCCTTTTATCTGACAGACCAAGGAAATGTATGTGAGTATATATTAATATGGATATATATTGATAGGGTTTGGCTCTGTGTCCACACCCAAATCTCATCTCAAATTGTAATCCCCATGTGTCAAAGGAGGGACCTGGTGAGAGGTGATTGGATCATAAGGCCGGTTTCCCATGCTGTTCTTGTGATAGCGAGTTCTCACAAGATCTGATGGTTTAAAAGTGTTTGGCAGCTCCGCCTTCTGCCCCCCATTCCCCTCTCCCCTTCTCTCGTTCCTGCCACTGTGTAAGATGTTTCTTGCTTCTCCTTCACCTTCTACAATGATTGTAAGTTTCCTAAGGCCTCCCCAGCCATGCAGAACTGTAAGTCAAGTAAACCTTTTTCCTTTATAAATTATCCAATCCTAGATAAGTTCTTTATAGCAATGTGAAAATGGACTAATACATATAATCATACCTATAAATATTTCTGTATCTATCCATCTGTATCTATTTTAGGCTAAAATTCTTCATACTGATGTCTTCAATTTGAATCCATTATCATGTGGATGATTCTAGCATCTCGTCCTTTCTCGTGATCCCTGCTTTTGCTTATCTGCAGCTTCCCACTCCAACAGTGAGAAATCTTGATCTCACCATCTACCATTTACTTACCTAATTGTCTAATTCTAGTATGCATGTATAGCAGTGTCAATATTGTTAGCCCATACACTATGGGGACAACTTTATCGCTAGAGTACAAGGCTTATGTACAGTTTCTTTGTTTTTAGTTTTACAGATTACAATTGTTTCCAAAGTTACTTAGATTATTTCCCCACCATCCTCTTCAGTGAAGATGTTTCATATATTTGTAATACAGTTAGATTGTTTTGTCACATTCTGTATTCCATCCTGGGATTCCCCCAATTTCCTGAATGACTTTTCAGTGTGCACTCATTAAAATACTCTTTTTGTGTTGTAAAGCTCAACAGGTTTTGGCAGTTGCATAGTGTCATGCACTTGCAATTACAATATCACACAGAAGAGTCGCACTTTTCTAAAAATTTACTTGTACTTCCTCTATTCAGCTTCTCCAACCCTGTGCCCCTTGCATCTAGACTTTTAAAATTGTCTCCATAGTTCTACCTTCATCAGAATGTCATTTAAAGGGAATCATACAGTATGTAGCCTTTCAGTATGGCTTCTTTCACTCAGTGATATGCATTTAGGATTTACCTATGTCTTTGTGTGGCTTGATAGGCGATTTTAAAATCACTGAATCACATTTCCTTGTATGGAATATACCAGTATTTTATCCATTCACTTAGCAATGGACATTTTGATTGCTTCCAGTTTTTGAATAGCATGAATGAAGCTGCTATAAATATTTATGTGCAGGTTTTTTTGTGTGGCACTTTAGTTTTTAAGGCATTTCTGAAATCATTTTTTTCAATTTGATTTTCAGGACACTTGAGGGTAGAGTAAATGAAGTGAATCATGCCCCTGTTATACGTTGGAAAGATACTTTAAGAAGAGGCTCTTGCCTCAGTTTTCACAGCTGGTAAAGGGAAGAGCTGAGACTTGAAGGTTTATCTTCTTACCCTAAATGTCACATTCCTCTCATACATTATTCTGGATCTCAATAAATTATTTGAGAAAATAATTGAAAACCCTTATATACTATCCAAATAATTGTAATTTTATTAAACCAGATCTTCTCAATTTTCCTTGTCTTTGTCACTACACTCATCCTCACATACAAAGAAAAGACAGGGAAAGTGTAACCTACTGTAATATAAATGAAAGGAGAAAAAAAGAGGCCACCTCTCCTCCTTGCTACTTCTCATTTTTTTGCTTTACTTAGAAAATGCTAAGGCACCTCTTCTTTATATTTTGTAATTACCTTTTGTCTTTACTTTCAACCATTTTGTATGATGTATTAAATATACTTAAAATTAAAATTAATAATCATCATAATAGGTAGCAATTGAGTGTTTACCATGTACTAGACACAGGGCTGGGCATTTCATTTATATAACTTCATTTATTCCTCACAACAACCCTCAGGGGTAGCTTCTATTGTTATCCTCATTTTACAGTTGAGGAAACTAGGGTTTAGGAGAAATTATGTAACTTGCCCAGGAACCAATAATAAGAGGTAGGAATGGATCTCAGGATCTGTTCGGGTATTATTTTTCTCCATCTTATTAGGTATTTCCAGAGATGCATTACCTTCTAAAGCGGAGTGGTCTTTTTAGTGCAAACTTGATATTGAGGATTTGGGAGAAGGAAAGTGTAGTTACAGCTATGCCACCTTGTGTCGGGGCAAACCAGACAAGTGTGTCTTGTAAACACAGCTACTGAACAAAAGAAATTGAACCTAAGGAAACAGGCAATAGTATTCCCCCTGGTGACACCATCTAATAAGAACAGCAGCTGCTCTGGGGCACTGACCCCTTATGTTGAAGTGATAATACAGCAATTAGCTCTTTCCTCATTTTCCCAAGTTAACCCAAGGGTAAAATGGCACACTGAGCAAATATACCAAATTACATTAAACTTAGTTATCAATTTGAAAATCTTAGATGCTGGCTGCACAGAGATTAACAGGTTCTAGCAATTTTTTTTTTTTTTTTTTGCTTATACTCCACTCTCACCCCCAGCGAAAAACCTCAGCCATAGCTGGTTGTTTTTGTCAGATGCAATATAGCTTTCGGCAGGCAACTCTATATTGGCTCTGCCTGGTTTCCAGAGAGAACTCTTGGCATGAGATAGTGGACTAAATCATACGCAGTAACCAACAAATACATCTTGGGAAGAATATTTGCATAGCACTGGGCACAGTGTTGAGAATGAGGATGATATTTTTTCTAGAGAAAAATCCATATGCCTTGGGGACCCTAATCTAGTCAGCATCACTGGCATTATGGAAGCAGCATTGGTCAGGAAGACAGAAGGGGATCCTAGTATTTTGCTACCACCTATAGAAACTCATCTGGCTTTCAATTCAATGGTGATGAGCGAGCCCCAGAACTTGCCAGGTGTTTCTATTATGTAGCTCTGTTGATAAAGGCAAATCAGAGAAAATGAGGTCTGGGGCTGTTCAAGTCACATTTATATGTTTGACAAATGTTCACTAACACCTTACCATGTACTTGGCACTGTGCTAGGTTCTGGGTTCATGAGGAGAAATATGACACTTTTTTTTTTTTTCTTGAGACAAGGTCTCACTCTGTTTCCCAGGTTGGAGTGCAGTGGCACAACTATGGCTCACTGCAGCTTCCACCTTCCAGGCCCAAGCAATCTTCCCACCTCAGCTTCCAGAGTAGCTGGGACCACAGGTGTGTGCCACATACCGGGCTAATTTTTAATTTTTTTGTACAGATAGGGTCTTCCTAGGTTGTCCAGGCTGGTCCCAAACTCCTGGACTCAAGCGATCCTCCTGCCTTGGCCTCCCAGAGTGCTGGGATTACAGACATGAGCCACTGTGTCCGGCCATGACACAATTCTTAACCTCAGGAAAATCACAGTATGGGGAGACAGACATGCATATAAAGATGTGTAAAGCAGTATCATGGCTTAAAAAACGAGTGTCAAGTCAATGTACAGAAACATTCCTTCATGATGATCTCCCAGCTACAGAAGACTACAAATGAAAGAGAGTATCAGTGAGCAGCTGGGAGACAGTCAGGTCCTTTTCTGAATGCAAAGTTGCCAAAGAGTGAAGCTGGCCTATTCCAAAGCAAAGAGATTTAGCTTCCCCAAGAATGAGATGACAGGCAATGAAGCCATGTGTGTCTAAACTGTGCCACTGTGTCTTCCCTCACAGTACCTAGACAGGTGATGCGATCTCAGCTGAGGGTCTGGGCAAGGGTGTGGGACTTCTAATGATCACCTCAAGCTGCACTCACATTTGATACTGGGACAATGGAGTGAGTGCCCATCTTCAAATAGATCAGATGAACTTGGACAATCTGCGGCGTCATGGCAGTTGTAATAGATGGAAGCCTCCTGATATCCCCTCTATTTTTCTGGTATTATGTAAGTCCCCCATTCCCTGCCATCCCCTCAATAAATAGGTGATTTCAGGGAGGCGGTGCAAAATGTGACAGTTTCCATCCTGGCATTTGAGAGTTTGAAGTGAAATTTAAACGTTATATTAAATTTAAATGTAAATATTGAGTTGAAAAAAATAAGAATATAACTTTAAAAATAACAAGCTCTTTGTTTTGGAA